>NC_000004.12:154375926-154678956 GCF_000001405.40 Homo sapiens
AGCATAAATGATTCCGGCAAATAATTTTCAGCAAAAGAAACTCGACAGAAACACATACTGTATGATTCCATTCACTGAAAGTTAAAAAAATTGGTATACTAATGCTTGGTGTTAGAAGTCAACAGTGGTTTCTAAAAAGGCAGGGATGGGGGCATGGAGGGGTGGATGGAGGACAGTTACAACAAGATGCAAAGAGGGGGCTTCTGGGTTCCGGTAACGTTTTCTCATTTGCTTTTATGGGTCTGTTGATTTTGCAGAAATCCATTGAGCTATACACTTATTATTTGTGCATTTCTCTGTATGCATTTTATATGTCAATTAAAAAGTTTAACAACAAAAAAAGACAAAGGAATCAAACTGAAGGTGCCTTCACTGATCAAGAATGGGCCAATGAGAACATCAGAAAGGATAGGGTCAGCAATGTATTGAAATACATCAAATTTTTTAAAATCCAGGAATTTATACTCAAATTAGGAAAAAGACATTATTGTTTACCTTTGGAGATAATTAAGACAGCAAGTTACTATTAAAAAAAACTGGTAAAATAAAAACAAATAATCAAGCCTTATCCTGCAATTCCTGTATGAATTATACTTAAGAGTAATCAAATAGTTGTTGTGAGAACATTTTCCTTAGTTGAAGAATTCCAGATAATAAATGCAAAAGGAATAATAGAATTCAAAAGCTACCATTTTTCAACCTCTAAGAAAATAATGGTATGTGTCTGCTGATGCAATAAGAAGCAAATGGCATCACCTAAATGAATCTGAAAACAATCAGCTCTCTGTCTCTAATGCTAGTTTATAGGAAATAGAGGGAATGGAAGAACACAGTAAATGAATCCCAAGGATGTAATCAGCCACATTTAGCATGTGGAAAATCTACCGGACAAATGACTTGGTTTTTTAAAAAAGCCATAGGAGAACAGGTAAGAGGCCTGACTGTTACAGATGGAAACTTAAAGAATATATCGATCAAATCAATTGTGAACTTATTTGGATCTTCATTCAAAGAAACCAACTATAAAAGACATGTTTTGATAATCAAGAAAATTTAACATAGAAAGGATATAAGATATCATTAAAGCATTATTGTTAATGTTTTGTAGTTCTGTGTTTTTAAAGTCATTTTTAGAGATATTCTTGAATTATTTATGGGTGAAATAACATGCTGGATATTTGCTTCAAAAAACTTCAGCAAAGGAAAGAGGTAGTGACACATGAAACAGAATGACCCAATTGTTGATCATCATTGGTCCTCTGTGATGTATACACAGTGGCTCACTTGTGATTATGTTTAAAATAAACTTCATACATAAAAACTTACCCCATCCTTAGCTTCCACCAGGAGATCATAGGTAGCTGGATCCCTTTCCCTGTCGATATCTTGAGAAACACAGATTTGCCCATCATGAGGGTCGATCCGGAATGCCTGAGGTGCTTCATAGCTCAGGAATCCATCATAAAGAGAATATTCAATAAAGCCATAGAGTCCTGAATCTGCATCAGAGGCTGTCACCTGTGAGACAGGAGGGTGATCAGGAGGAAACAGAAATGCTAGCATTACTTTTCAGTCAGTCATGAATTATTAAAACAATTTGCACAACCACATAACCCCCATAGCTATTCACAAAGCCTAGGCTTTGGTTTCATATCTCTCTCCTCGCTTACCTTCTGTGATAATTCCCCCTTCACTTTTCTCCTTTCTTTGTGAGTTCTCCTTTTCAATATCTCTTGCCCACTCCTATCTTTTCAGATGATCTCTGAAAGTTTGAGGTCCCTAAGGACCTTATTTCATTCACTTATAGTCTTCTTATTTCATTCACTATACGTAACTAATCTCATCCAATCTCAAAGATTTAAGAATACCCATAGGATTAAGGACTTGACAGCCAAGCTGTTGATTCCCTCTCATACCTAGGCCTTCAAGTGATAGGCTTGATGCCCCCCACCTTTGAGAGCAGCAAGGGGAGGGCCAAGAAATCAAGACAGTAAATGCCACCATTACTAGAAACCCAATCCCAGTGACAGAATTCACACTGGAATGTGAGAGTTGAGTCTCCCTGGCCAGCTTTCCTTCTGGGAGTAATGTCTCAATCAGGGCCCTGCACAGTGGTGTAGCATTCAGTCTGCAGGTGCCTGTAGGTACATGGGGAATGAAATCCAGCCCATGCTGTGCTCGCCAAAACAGGCACAAACACTGACATGCCCAGAGGAAAAGGCACCGTCTTATTTTGCCATACGTACCACTTATGTTACCAGCAATCCTGTGCCTGATAGAAAAGATGAAGCAAGTGAAATTATGAAAGCACTTAACTTATTTATACTAACTGTGGGAGTATATAGTGAGAAATACAACAGGCTCTATAGAACTCAAAAAATTCTCAAGCTCATAGGCTCATGATAGATAATGCTTTTAATTTACAACCCAACTAACAGTAAGAGCAAACACCTACATAGCACTTACAATAAAAGCAGCACTTTAAGGGAAGACAGAAAGAAAGAGAGGAAAAGAGGAGGAGGGAAGGAAGGAAGGGAGGAAGGAAGGAAAGAAGGAAGGAGGGAGGGAGGGTGGGAAGGAAGGAAGGAAGGAAAGAAGGAAGGAAGGAAGGAAGGAAGGAAGGAAGGAAGGAAGGAAGGTAGGAAGGATTCCGTGCTACAGAACACGTACTCTTATAAGAGCTTAAAGTACATCACATACTTACAACCTATAGGTACTAACGTTCACTCTTCAGATCAGACAAGTCAGGCTCAGAGAGTTTATGTAACGGGCCAAAGGTCACATAACGAATAAGTGTCAAAACTGAAATTCTTATCCATACAATTGGCAGCAGAGGGCATGCTCTAATGACCATGATCTATGTGCTGCCTCCCAAGTCTGACACCTTGTCATATAATCCTTTATTTACAGAAAAATCAGACCCCAAATCTCCTGACCTTCCTCTGATGCAGAATGTGCTAGATTATGTGTAGCACCATTCCAAGTAAATGTTTACCCCAGGTATATGTTGTTTCTCACCATAATATCATTAACATGAAGAAAGGCAACTAGTAGTGGTGCCTGTGCTCTTAAGTCTTAGCTGAACCTTCTATTCCATGTGATCAAATTCCAAATGGGTTCCAGAATGCAGAAATATAAAGTGATGACAATTGGAAATAAAAGAGAATTAAGCAGATTAATTCAGAAAGTCCAACTTCCCACTAATGGACATCACAGAAAAAGAGAAGAGAAAACAGATAAAATGGAAAAAAAAGGAGCAAAGGAGCAGCTATTTCTTTGGTTCACAAGGACACATACATGCAAGGTCCCCAAAGTCACTCTGACAGGGAAGGAGAGAGATGGAAGAGGCATTCTGGCTTTTAACTTCTTTGGCCCAGAAGCCGTGCTCAGCTCACATTCCACTGGGCAGAACCAGTTATATGTCCCCAGCTTAGCTGCAAGGGAGGCTGAGAAAAGGAGAGGAGCATGAGGATATTTGGTGCATACAAATAGTCTTTGTCATACATATCATTTAGTCTAGAATATGTGAAGACAGGCACATAAGATTATGTAGGTCTCCAAGTAGATGTAGTGAAACTTAAGCACGAGGAAAGTTATACCCAGAAATGGCTACCCAGTGCCACTCTACTATAGATTTAGTTTTGGAAAGTAATTCTGGCTGTCTTGCATATATTTGTAAGCCTTTTAGGAGGGAGGCAAAAATAAAAGACAATTTCATCACCTACAATATTTGTGCTCTTATTATACTCATTTAACTCTGGACTGAAAACAAAATAATAAGCTTTTCATCAATATAATATACATGCAGGAGCTACAACTTAATTACAGTACTTCCCAAATAAAGCTTCATCCTGACAACATGTTCAACAAAGTTCTCAATAAACCTTCTCCTTCATCCTGTTCCATCTTGAGCATATAACCAGAATGTGACTTTTGGAGCTATTTTGAAGTAGTCTAGCTTAGTGGTTCTCAACTAGGGACAAGTTTGCCCCCCAAGAAGACATTTAGTATGTCTAGAGACACTTTTGGTTGTCACAACTGGGGAAGGGTTTCTACTTTCATTTAATGGGTTAATTTAATGGGTTAATTCGAGAGATACTGCTGCAATGTATTATATAACATCCTACAATGCATAAGATAGACTTCACAACAAAGAATTATCTGACCCGAAATGTTAGTAGTGCCTAGACTGAGAACCCCTGGGCATGATGAAACTCCTACCAATTGGCAGTGTTATTTTCCTGCTTTAATTGTCTATTTCTTAAACTGATGATACAGCCTTTAAATTTATCTTTTCTCTCATCTATCTCATATTCTGTAGCAAAATTATTCATCCTGTGCAACCATCTAACATATTTATAAGTTCTTCTCATCACTTCTTCTCATATTGTGATTCTTCTCATCAGTTGGGCTGAAGCAGGAAATCCACAAATTTCCCCACTACAAAGAACTAAACTCCAAATACATTTGGTCTATTCTATTCTGACAGCTGTTAATAATTTAGAAGCTTCAAGTTCCTGAAGACACCAAATATATCTTCTAAAGCCATATGGTATTCTCAATAACTTTGGCTTCATTGAAAGACACATACAATGAACTTTTAAATTTTAAAATTCATTCTTAGCCTTTAATAGTACATATTAATAAGTGATTCAGCTTATATAAAACAAATTTCCTTACTTCCACTTTCAAGACCTTTTTCTCATCTGGACTTTTGGCAAAGCAAAATGTAAGGAGACAAAAGTAGGATAAAAGTATTGATCTCAATTTATGTTAGCAATTCATATTCTGAGTTTCAGAATCGTAACATAAGAATGTTTTTCTTCCTGTTGTGACCAAAATACCTAAAAATATTGACCTAGTATTCTCAACAACATATCCCACCTATTGGGTCTTGAATGCCTAGAATTAATATTGGGTCTTGAATGCCTAGAATTAATTTGACATCTTTCTAAGATTTATATTTTCCAATATCCATTGACTGACACATAAAATTTAGGCAAATTGAGTAATAGAAAATGGAAATGGCTTTGTCAAAGCTTCAAGAGGAAATCTTGCTTAGTTAATAAGCTCCATGGGCCCTTTCTCCAAAGATGATTGTTTAAATTGAAGCAAGAGGCACCTGGCCAACTCCATTATCGCAATCTTATGGTGCTGATTGAGCATCAGAGGATATCTCAAGAGGATTTTATCCCTACGTCTACTTATTGAGCCACATTACAGCACTCTAAATAACATTCCTGTGTTCTTCATCCTAATCTCAATTTACCTATTTTAGACAGAGATGAATCTGATACTTTTCACTGTAAACTTCTTCCAACTCAGAATTGTTCTCCCCAAGTCTATCTTTCACAAGTTTGATGGAAACATTATAAAAATGCAAAATATCAATATATTATTAAAATCCCCCTGATTCCATTGTTAGCTTTCTGAGATTTAAATAATTTTTATCAGACAAGGATATACACTTTCGCCACTCCTATTCAACACAGTACGGGAAGTCCTAGCCAGAGCAATCGGGCAACAGAAAGAAATAAAAAGCATCCAAATAGGAAAAGAAGCCAAACTATCTCTCTTTACTGACAATATAATTCTATAGCTAGAGAATTCGTAAGACTCTGCCAAAAGGCTCCTGGAACTGATAAACAACTTCAGTAAAGTTTCAAGATATGAAATCAATATACAAAAATCAGTAGCATTCCTATACAGCAATAATGTTCAAGCTGAGAGCCAAATCAAGAACACAATCCCATTTACAATAGCCACCAAAAAATAAAATACCTAGGAATAAATCTAACCAAGGAGGTAAAAGATCTCTACAAGGAGAACTACAAAACACTGCTGAAAGAAATCACAGACGACACAAACAAATGGAAAAACATTCCATGCTCATTGATTAGAAGAATCAATATTGTTAAAATGGCCAGACTGTCTAAAGCAATCTATAGATTCAATGCCATTCCTATCAAACTACCAATGTAATTTTACACAGAATTATAAAAAACCATTCTAAAATTCATACGGAACTGAAAAAATGCCCAAATAGTCAAAGTAATCCTAAGCAAAAAGAACAAAGTTGGAGGCATCACATTATCCAACTTCAAATTATACTATAGGGCTACAGTAACCAAAACAGCATGGTACTGGTACGAAAACAGAAACATAGACCAATGGAACAGAAGAGAGAACCCAGAAATAAAACATCACACCTACAGCCATCTGATCTTTGACAAAGTTGAATAAGCAATAAGGAAAGGACTCCTTAATCAATAAATGGTGCTGGGGTAGCTGGCTAGCCATATACAGAGGATTGAAACTGGTTGCCCACCTTTCACCATATACAAAAATTAAATGAATTTTAATTTCAACTAGATGAATTTTAATTTTAATACACAATAATTCACAATATACAAATATTTAAATGGATTAAATATTTAAATATAAGACCTCAAACTATAAGAATCCTAGAAGAAAACCTAGGAAACAACATTCTGGACATTGGCCTTGGAAAAAAATTTATTACTAAGTCCTCAAAAGCAATTGCAACCAAAACAAAAATTGACAAGTGGAATCGAATTAAACTAAAGAGCTTCTGCACAGTATAAGAAAATCCCAACAGAGTAAACAGACAACCCCTCAGAATGGGAAAAAATAATCACAAACTATATATCTGACAAAGGTCTAATATCCAGAGTCTATAAGGAACTTAAATAATTCAACCAGCGAAAAACAAATAACCCCATTAAAAAGTGGGCAAAAGACATTAACAGACACTTCTCAAAAGACGACATACAAGCAGCCAAGAAACATATGAAAAAAATGCTCAATATCACTAATCATCAGAGAAATGCAAATCAATACCACAATGAGATGTCATCTTGCACCAGTCAGAATAGCTATTATTGAAAAGTCAAAAAATAACAGATGCTGATGAGGCTATGAAGAAAAGTGGACACTTAAATACACTCTTGGTGAGAATGCAAATTAGTTCAGCCACTGTGGAAAGAAGGATGGAGATTTATTAAAGAACTACCATTCGAACAATAATCCAATTACTGAGTAAATATCCAAAGGAAAATAAATTATTCTACCAAAAAGACACATGCACTTGCATATTCATCACAGTGCTATTCACAATAGCAAAAACATAGAATCAACCTAGGGACCCATCAATGGTGGATTAGACAAAGAAAATGTGGAACATATGCACTATGGAATGCTACACAGCCATAAACAAGAAAAATATCATGTCCTTTGCAGAAACATGAATGCAGCTGGCTGCCATTATCTTAAGGGAATTAACACAGGAACAGAAAACCAAATACTGCAGTTCTCACTCATAAGTGGGAGTTATGGGTATAAAGATGGGGACAATAAACACAGGAAACTACTAGAAGGGGGAGGTTGGAAGAGGGTTGAAAGTCTACCCATTGGTTGCAATGCTCATTGCCTGGGCGATGGGATCAATTGTACCCCAAACCTCAGCATCACACAATACACTCACATGACAAATCTGCACATGTACCCCTTGAATCTAAAATAAAGGTTGAAATTACAAAAAATAAAGTAAAATACAAATAAATAATTTTTATTACTTCCTTCATATTAACATCTAGGTAAGAATTCCTCCCTATGAATGTGTCATGAAGACAGGAGACAAATTGAAATCACTGGCCCTTGAAGGCATGTTTCCATGGTTTTTGGATGTTCTACAAGTGGAATGGATCTGCTTACATCCCCCTCATCAGGATAATAGGGCTTCCTCCCCTTCAACATCAGTGGTCAGTCCAGCCATTTATATCAGCCAGACTCCACCCAAAAGGCATGATGTAACAGGGTTGGCCATAATTCCTCTGTCTACTCCTAAGCAATTGTACACTCAACTCAGCAAAATTTGTGAAAAAAAATAAAAACGTCTCAGAGCCCAGTAAAAAAGAGCAATAAAACAGGAGTTCTAGTGGAAAAAAAAATAGCAGCACTTAAGATGAAATTCAAAATGAAATAGCCCACTTTAATTTTTTTCTTATTACAATTTCCAGTTTTTCTATCCATGAGCATTTAACAATTTGTTTGAAGAAACAAAGTTATTAACACAACACACACATAGAACTTTACATAGAAAAGAAGAAAAAAATCATTAAATAACGTTTTACATTTGAAGCACTGGACAACCACTGATCCTGCAGCTGAAATAGGACTATAATATTCCAGTGGAACTTGGAATCAGCATTGGGGCCCACAACTAATGCAAGTATGCCACTCTCTGAACACCACTTGGCAAGTTCACCAAGTTCCAAAGTCTAATGATCGAGGCTTGATCTTTATTTTCTGAATTATTTGGCAGCCGTTCACACAGCTAGTCATTGCCTCCTTATTGAAACATCCTTCATCAGACACCATGTTATGGCCCTCCTCCTCATGCACCACCTGACTGACCTCACCTCAGTTTCCTTCACTGGTTTTGCGTTCTCTTCCTGGCTTCTGAACACTATAGCACCCCAGAGCTCAGTCTCGGGACTACCTCTTTTCAATCCACACTGACTGCTTGTAGGGGACTGAATGCTGGCCTCCAAAAAACCTCTGTCAATGTTCTAATCCCCAGAACCTATGACTATTCTCTTATTTGATAAAGTAGTGAGTACTACCTTATATGGCAACAGACATGATTAAGTTGAGGATTTTGAGAGGAGAATCTTATCCTTGCTTATCTGGGTGGGTCCTATATCCAACAAATGTCCTCACAAGAGATAGACAGAGGAAGGTCTGCCCAACAGAAGAGGAGGAGGCAATGTGACCAGGGAAGCAGAGATTGAAGGGATGTGGCCACAAGTCAAGGAACACCGACAGCCACCAGAAGCTGGAGGAGATAAAGAATGGATTGACCCCAGAGCCCCCAGAAGGAGCACAGCCCTGCTGGATTGCAGACTTCTAGTCTCCAGAACTGTGTGAAAGAATAATTTCCGCTGTTTTTTTTAATATGGAAATGTTTTTTATTTTTATTTTTATTTTTATTATACTTTAAGTTTTAGGGTACATGTGCACAATGTGCATGTTTGTTACATATGTATACATGTGCCATGTTGGTGTGCTGCACCCATTAACTCATCATTTAACATTAGGTATATCTTCTAATGCTATCCCTTCCCCCTCCCCCCACCCCACAACAGGCCCCAGTGTGTGATGTTCCCCTCCTGTGTCCATGTGTTCTCATTGTTCAATTCCCACCTATGAGTGAGAACATGCGGCGTTTGGTTTTTTGTCCTTGCAATAGTTTGCTGAGAATGATGGTTTCCAGCTTCATCCATGTCCTTACAAAGGACATGAACTCATCCTTTTTTATGGCTGCATAGTATTCCATTGTGTATATGTGCCACATTTTCTTAATCCAGTCTATCATTGTTGAACATTTGGGTTGGTTCCAAGTCTTTGCTATTGTGAATAGTGCCCCCAATAAACATACATGTACGTGTGTCTTTATAGCAGCATGTTTATAATCCTTTGGGTATATACCCAGTAATGGGATGGCTGAGTCAAATGGCTTTTCTAGTTCTAGATCCCTGAGGAATCGCCACACTGACTTCCACAATGGTTGAACTCCATCTCCAGGCTGGAGTGCAGTAGCACAATCTCGGCTCACTGCAACCTCCGCCTCCTGGGTTCAAGCGATTCTCCTGACTTAGCCTCCCAAGTGCTGAGACTACAGGTGCAGGCCATCATGCTCAATTACTTTTTTTTTTCTGCATTTTTAGTAGAGATGAGGTTTCACCACGTTGGCCAGGATAGTCTCGATCTCTTGACCTCGTGACCCACCTACCTCAGGCTCCCAAAGTGCTAGGATTAAAGGTGTGAGCCACCACGCCCAGCCCAATTTCTGCTGTTTTAAGCCACCAAATTCTTGGTAATTTGTTACTGCAGCCCTAGGAAATTAACACACTCCCTGAGTGGTCTGACCAGCCCACGACACTACACCAATCTCTGTGCCAATGACTCCCCAATTCTAAATCTCCATCTGGGCTCCAGACTCTGCATCCTCCTATGCCAACTCACACCTCACACGTCTTAAGTGACTAATTGGCATCTCAAATGCAACCTGCTCAAAGGGAACTCCTGATTCCCACCCCACTCCACCCCACAGTCTGCTACCCTCCCGGTCTTTTTAGTGAACGATACTACCATTCACTTTCTGCTACACACAGTCAGAGAGATACTGTCTAAAATGACACCAAATCCTATTACTCTCTTGCTAAGAATCTTTCAACAACTTCCCATCCTACCCAACATAATCCAAGTCTTTAATCTGACCCCTGGCTACTTCTCTGACCTCATCCTCCACTCCTGTCCGACTCTTTCACTCCCCTCTGGACACAGTGGTCTCCTCGACAGTCCTGGAAAACACTGGCTTGTTCCCACCTTAGGGCCTTGTACTTGGTGTTCTCTGTGCCTGCAAGGCCTTTCCTCCAGCCTTTAGTATAACATGCTCACATCTCTTTACTCTTTGTACACCTAATCACACAGGCCTTGATTGATGCTCTAGTCAAGAGTCACTTTACCTCTGTCTCACCTTTTTTTTCTTAACCCTGCTTTGCTTTCTTCAGAGAACTTATCTCCAAGTTATGTTGCATTATATATTTTTATTTATTTGTATATTGATAATAACATGTCTTCCCCACTGGAATTTAAGCTTCGGGACAACCATTACACTGATCTCGCCCCACCCCTAACCACCCCTGCTGCATCTCCAGCAGCCATAGCACTGGTGCCTAGTTCATATTGAGGTGCTAGAAATGTTTGTTGCATGAATTAATGAATCTAATACTGTGTATAGGATACAAGCACGTTTAAGAAATAAACTTTATGACTATTCTCTCTATTTGCCCTTCAGAGGAAACACATAAGAACAAGATGGTTCGTGACACTCATCAAACACTCATTGAGAAATAATATTTTTACTCATAAAACACTATCTATTAACGAAGCTATATTATCATACAATAAGATCCATAATACTTTTTCAAAGCCACTAAATGCTACAACTAAAATCAGCTAGGCAAAAAGAAAAGAAAACTATCTCAAAGCATGTGGAACTATTAAGATGTTGGAATCAGAACATCTTTTAAAAGGTTTAACCTTTTAAAATGTATGTTAAGAGAGACTCTCACAGCTATTAGATGAATAGGCTGAATACATATCCTCAAGTTACAGCCTGAAAAAGTTGTTACAATAGCATGTTTTTATTGCCTTAATTGAAGAATGAGTTTAAGCAACCACGAATTCTACTACTTAATTATTGTCCTTTCTTCCCACCTCAAAAAAGCAGTCTAAGGAAATTTTGTGAAAGGAGACCAGTGGGGTTTAGGGGAATGGAAAGTAACTTGTCCTATAAGGTGTTATAAAATAAACAATTAAAATAGTGTGATCTAATAAAAGAATTGGCAGGCAGATCAATAGAACACAAAAGCAAGACCTGAAACAGATCCTACTAAAACTAAAAGTGTATATAACAAAGAAAACCACTGAAGAATGTGGGTTTATTCACATAAATTGCTAGAAAAATTGGCAAAGTACATGAGGAAAAATCAGGATTGATATTAACCTCAGACCAAAAGAGATTCTACACCAATATGTTAAATGTAAATAATGAAATCATTTAAAGTACAAAGAATATATAAAGAAATATTTGGCTGATCCTTACATTGAAAAGAAATTTCAAAGCAAAGAAGTATTTCAAAATTAAAGCAGATCACAAAGGAAAAAGTCAATAAATTGACTACATAAAGGCTTAAACTCCATTATGTCAAAAATATACACAAAATATTAAAGGCAAATGAGGTATATCTGCAACAAATATATAGTAAAATGTTAATGTCCTTAATGTAGAAAGAGGACTTCAAAGATAAAAATAATACAGATTTCCCAGTAAAAACAAATAGCCAAAGGACATGAACAGACAATTCATAGAAAAATATATTTAAGATATTCAACTTCACTTGTAATTAAATAAATAAAAATAAAATAAAACTTTTGCCTTCCAAATTGGCAATCATTAAAATAATATATTAAGTTGTAGAAAGATGTATTAAGTATATGCTTATTCTTACAGCCCATCTGAAAAGTAACTCTGTGTTTACCACATATACATGTTAAACATTCTCCCAAATCTAAAAATATTCATCTCCTTTGACTCTGTTAGCATATTTCTAAGAATATACATAGAAAGATATTTGTATGAAAAACATATAATGTGGCATTATTTATTCTAAAACCCAAATGTCCAATCAGAAAAGAGTTGTTAAATAAATTAAAATTCATTCATAAGAGAGAATTCAATGTAGGCATGAAAATTGTATATTTAAAGACACAATAAAATGTCCAAAATATTGAGGTGAGTAAAAAAAAAGAAAGGTAACTAAAAATTACATATAAAAATCCCATTTATGCAAAAAAATTCAGTGTATACAATTAAAAACTGAAAGGAAATAAGCAAAGGGTTAAGTGATTTAATGTGGGGAATAGGTGATTTTTTTTTATTCCATTCATTTCTTTCCCAAATTTTCAAAAATAGATGTAATTTTTTTTTTTTTTTTTTGAGATGGAGTCTCCCTCTGTCGCCCAGGCTGCAGTGCAGTGGTGCGATCTCGGCTGACTGCAACCTCTGCCTTCTGGGTTCAAGTGATTCTCCTGCCTCAGCCTCCTGAGTAGCTGGGATTACAGGCGCACATCACCACGGCTGTCTAATTTTTTTTATTTTTAGTAGAGATGGGGTTTCACCGTGTTAGCCAGGATGGTCTCGATCTCCTGACCTCGTGATCCACCCGCCTCGGCCTCCCAAAGTGCTGGGATTACAGGCGTAAGCCACTGCGCCCGGCCAAATACATGTAATTTTATGGAAACATTATTATGAAAAAGAAGATGAGCATCAAAAAATATTAATCCTAAAAAAAAATTGTATTTGATAGGCATTGGCCGTCTGTCTATTGAACTATTATGAGTGCATCTTCACAGTACTGGGTTCTTGAAGACCCACTACAGCACGGATGGGGAGGAGTCACAGGGCTGAAGGCATTACTGATGTCTAAACCAGGGGTGAGCAAGGGCCGGACAGTAAATATTTTAGGCTGCACAAGCCATAAAGTCTCTGTTACAACTACTCAACTCTGCCATTTTAGCATGAAAGAGCCGTGGACAATAAGTAAATGAATGGCTGTGTTCCAGTAGAATTTTATTTACACATATCAATATTTGAATTTCATGTCACTTTCAATTGTCATGAAATATTATTTCTCTCTCTCTTTTTTCAACCATTTAAAAATGTAAAAACCATTCTTACCTTTTGTACTAGGTGGTACAAAAACAGACAGGAGGCTGGATCTGGGCCATGTGCCATGGTTTGCTAACCCCTGATCTAAAGCATAAGAAGTAATCTTTAGAAAAACAGAGTCAACACTTCAGGCCCAGGAATACCACTTCAGAATGACCTCAGTCCAGTGCATATCAGGGGCTTGTTTGACATCCTGGATTTGAGCTGGTCTCACAGACAGGTTTACTATCCATGTATTGCTGTCTCTATGTTCTATTCCTAAAGACAAAGGTTATATATATATATATATATAACCTTTTTTTAAAGGACCTAAACTATTTGACTTCAAAATGCTTTCACTGAGTGAAATTTTTATATCATGACTTTATATTTTACAAAAATTTCATTTTAATCATTTGTCTTTGGAAAAACTAAAACAGAAAATGGATTTATTACAGGATCCAGTAATTCTTTAATCGAGATCCTTTTAACTTTAAATCTAATCACACTCCACGACCCCCACCCCTCCTCGAAAAACACACACACAAATCAAACAAAACAAAAACCTCTCCATGGTACCTATGCTAAAGTTGAAGGAAGTTAAAGTTAGAGGAATAGAGTGTCTGCACAGGAGCTCTCATTCCAGAGCTCCTCTCTACCAAACACCCTGTTTCAATAAGGCCTTGTCTGCCCTCACAGGTAAGATACTCATCTTTAAGAGAATAATTAATTTATATTTATGGCATAAAAATTAGGTTGCTGGTAGCTGATCCACGGACTGGCACTTCAACATCTTTTTAGATTACTTGCTTTTGAGTTATTAAATTATTTCAGTGAACTGACCTAGGCTGTTGATACTCTTTTTTTTTATTTTTTTAAATTTTTTTATTTTTTTTCTTTTATTATTATACTTTAAGTTTTAGGGTACATGTGCACATTGTGCAGGTTAGTTACATATGTATACATGTGCCACGCTGGTGCGCTGCACCCACTAACTCGTCATCTAGCATTAGGTATATCTCCCAATGCTATCCCTCCCCCCTCCCCCCACCCCACAACAGTCCCCAGAGTGTGATGTTCCCCTTCCTGTGTCCATGTGATCTCATTGTTCAATTCCCACCTATGAGTGAGAATATGCGGTGTTTGGTTTTTTGTTCTTGCGATAGTTTGATACTCTTAATCCTGTGGCCAAAGAATACATGGAAATACTGGTAGCAACTGTAAGTAACTGGCTGACTAATGCTCAAAAGTTACCTCACTTTTATATCACTAAGTCATTCACACACACACACACACACCCACACATGCACACACACACACTAGCCCAAATACACCTACATCATCTTTCATTTCCAGATACTCCTGAAAAACAAGTTATGACGCCTACTTTCCCAAGTTCTTACTATATGACTTCAAATTCTCTTTTTAACTGTTTATTATTAGCATTAACAGTGTTAGTAACAAGTGAAGTTCTCTTAGTTCTGGTTCATATGATCATTGTCATGTACAACTCTAACTATTCAGGACAACAATCATTTTCAAATACATTTGTACTATTCTTCATCACCAAACAATAATAAAATAAAGAGAAAGAAACCATATGTAAACAACAAAGCAATCCATGACCGAATATTTTCATAGTATTCTTACAGGTATCTGGAAACACACAAAAAGTATATGATTAGAAAATTTTATTTATCCAAAAATGAATTTGGATTACAAATACTATATGTCTATCATAGATATTGATAACGTCTAATACCATAAAACTTTAAATGACAAACAAATTCATGAGAGGATCCTAGCTAAGTATTTCTTCCAAGGCTTTATTTCCCTGAAGCTCAGAAGTAAATTCTTTGGCCAGTATGAATCTCATATGTAATTTAGCAGAAGGAACAGACTTATAAAAGCTGATACTTATTTTTAATTTTTGTTCTTACCTCTGAGATTTCACAATGGAATTTATTTTCACATACACCTCATATACACAGGCATCAGTACTTTCAAACTGCTGAGTAAACATCTTCTTTTCTCCGTCTTCATTCTCTGATTTCGTTATCTCATCCAGTCTCATGATTTTAAATATCTCCTATATGAGGGTAGCTTCAACTTCATGTCTCTGGCATGAACCCTTTCCTTGTGCTACAGGTTCACATATGGAAATACCTCCATGACTTTCCACTTGCAGCATAAAGAAAGCGTTCAAAACTAAAAATAGGCAGATCAGAGAGTCACTGATGCTGAGTTTGCAGGAGGAGGCAAAGTGCTGAAGGAGAAGAGGAAGAGTTAAAAAGACTGAGGCAAAGGAGTGCTTCTCTAGGAGAGGGACCATATGCAAATGGCAACAAAAGTCCAGGCAAAAAGACAAGGCGATGGGCAACTGGGCCAGCCAACCTCATCTGACATCTCAACACCCTCTCGACACCTTATGGGTTGGATTGTATTGCAAGAATCCAAAGTAAAAGGTGACTTTCAATGTTTTGGGGGTTCTGTGTGTTCCCAGCAGAGGAAGAAAACAAGATATTTTTCTCCCTGCAATCACCTGTACTCCATCAATGTGAACAGCAGGAGATGAAGGCGATGGGCCACGTGATGGCCCTGACCTGCTGAAAGCTAAAGCTCAATTCCTTTTGACCAATATTCTAACTCAAGATAGAAGACCATTGTGCAGAGTTACATAAATGTTAGTATTCCCAGAGAAAATAAAAATCTGAATAACATACCCCAGGTTATGTTATTCTATATACTATATACTATATACTAACAGGTGTTCTCTCTTGGGGTACAATCATGGGAAAAGTTAACTTATAAAATGACACCGTTTTGTAAACAATGTTTTACACTGAGCCTGATTTACTTTATATACACCAAAAGCTTCCACGTGGTATGATTGTTAAGGGCCAGCCTCTTCCCACTCCACCCACAAAGATACATTGAAATGCCCATGAAGTCCAGAGAGGAGAGCTGGTTGTTGATTTTTTTCCAAGCAATTCACATTTAAGCATCTCCCTCTTTTTTGGGAATGAGTATCATAATTCAGAATCATTTGACTTTTATCTTTTAGCTGTACCTTCCCATATATGTTTTGTAAAACAAAGAGATACCCAGAATTTATGCACAGAGGTCTTCCCAGTGGAAGGATGCATTCCCAGATATAAACATGAACAGGTGCACTCTAAACTCAAGGGAAACCCATCGTTTTAAAAAAATATATAATGAAAAAGACAAAGAGTAGGGAGGCAAAGTGAGTAAGTTCACAATATAACCTTAAGGGCTGTGATTTCCAATATGGACTGTGACTGACTGCACTATAGCTAACTGCTTCAGTTTTCACACCTGCAAAAGGGTCATAGTCACAATGGGCAAATATTAAGGTTTGGAAACCTATTCTCAATTTAGCAGCTTTGCTTCATGGAGGAAAAGAGAAAACCATGCACATAGATCTAACTATGGAAGTGTGGGATGCACCGTTTTGTATACCAGCTCCCAATATAATCACTTTTACAGAACTGTATATTTATTGTAAACATACTATTTAGGGGACTTCTTATTACATTTTAGAGTCCCCTTTATAAAGACTTACAGGAAAAACATTTCCTCAGGGCTTAGTGTCAGGGAAAGTCAATGCTGCTTCTCTTGATCAGTTAGGAATGTTTCTAACTTGGGGACTGTTTGAGTCTTATCACTTCATTGATGCAGCTTTAATACATGTGCATAATCTTGCATAATCCACTTCCATGTACTAAGGCTTCCTGATTTCATCTCACTATTCCACTTGACTTTTTTCCTGATTTGTTTAATTTTATCTTCATCTTACTGAGTTATTGTAGTTTTGTTAGTAGCTCATATTATATTTTTAAGTAGATGGATAATAAAATACATTAACTTAACAAATGGTATCCAACAGAAATGGATGTTACAAGCATACAGCTATATGATTAATACCTGATTAAAGAATTTAAACCTAGGAAATGTTTTCAGCCCAGAAGAGACCAACAGATAACTCTAAACATGCCACTAAAATGAATTATGTGCAAAGCCCATTCCTTGCAAGTTAGAACTTCTACATGTTGATTCAAGTCCCATTCACATGGCTCTTCAACTAATCTCTCAGTGTTCCAAGTCAATGATTGGGCTTGAAAGCTTTTGGTTGGGGGAAAAAAAATGGGCTTCATATTTTAACACATACGGAGTTAAGACAAAGACAGTATGGAGATATAAAGTGATTCTTTTAAAAAGATCCTCTTTATGTAATAGTTTAATCAGATGTTGTATTTCATGGTGTGATAGTCACAATGTCTTCAACATCCCAATGTCATAAGTGCTGCCTAAATTCTGGCTATGTCCAAAAGGTACTTTTAAGCCAAAAAGCAGGATTTTCCAGCCAAGGTACCCTATAGAATGTTTCATTATGTCATATGCTAGTCTAATCTCTACAGTCTTCCAGAAATGTCCCACCAGTCCACTCTTTCGCTGTTTCAGCCTGACTTGGACATGCTCTTGTCCATGATCCTGAAGTCTAAGATGTGCCACATCACCACTCCCAACAGCATGTCCAAAGACTCCCAGAATTAATTACATTATGTCCTGATGGTGTCTGTCTCTACAAGGATGAGGACTGACTCTTAAGGTGACTTTATTCTCAGGCAGGTACAAACCATCAAGTAATAATATTTATGTATATAAATATTTATGATGCACATATGGGATAATTCCTCAGTCTCAGACACATCCATACGCAAGAATTCAAGGAATCAATCTAAGTAAGATTTATCATGCAGTTAAAAACACAGTTGACAAAAACTAAAATTTTACACATCCATTGGATAGATTCTCTCTCAAATCAGTAATCACAGGTAAAGAGGAGGTGTGGAGCGGAAGGCTAGGAGAGGACCCATCACATTTCTCTTCTGCTGCTTCATAACTGTTATCAATGAGGGAGTCACAGTCCAGGGAGGCCTCAGGGTCACCAATAATCTTACTCTAGGCCAGACTAACAACACCGTACAGCAAATTTTTATTCTTGAAATGCAATGCACTTAAATCAGCACTATTCTGCTCATACAGAATTGAAATGTCAAGGTCAGTGCAAAGGGATTACAGCTGGTCATTAGGCACAAGGCCCCCCTCAGGAGTCAGACAGGTTTTGGACTCTGGTTTTCCCTCTTAGCAGCTATGTGACCTTGGACAGTAACTTAACTTCTCTGTGCTTCAATTTTGTAGAAACCGAATAACTCATCTCTAGGCATTCTCTTGGTTACAAGTAACAGAACATCCAACAGGAATATCTTAAACAATAAGGACATTTATTATCCCTCTTTGTCAAGATCTGGGCAGTGGTGGGGTGGGCAGTTCCAAGACTGGTTAATTCAGTAGCTCGATAATCCTATCAGGGTTCTAGGTCCTTTATATCTCACTCCTTCCATTCTCTGACCATGCTTGATGCATTGGCTTATCCTCTTTAGCCTGGTCCTCAAATTGGGCCAAGTTGCTGTTTGGTGCTATACATCACTTGCCAATGACAATATCCACAGATAGAAAGGACAACATATTTACCTGGCATCCATATTTTAGAGCAAGAAAACTCTTCTCATAAATTCTCAACAGTGTTTCCCTCAAGTCTCAAAACTGCATGGCCTTTCCAGGCCTAGCCAATTATTTGGCAAGTCAAATTAGACCACTATGATTTGTTTATACCAATTACAATTCACTCCAAGTGGAGGGACTGAGAAAGAGCCAACCAGAATGTGCCCATTTGGAGAAAGGTGAAAAACAACAGGGACTCTGTAGCAAGGACAAAAGGCGTGAGACTGTAGGACAGGCAACTACTAGATCTGCCACTATCTTCTGGAAGCTATTTTGTGTTTTAAATGAGATAATCTGTGTAAAGCTCCTAACACAATGCTTAGCCACTAGTGCAGAGAAGTAAAAATATGTTAGCTGTTTATATCATTAAGGGCATTATTAATAACATCATTAAGTATGAGTACCACATAGTCTTTCCACAACATTCATAAACCGTTTATTTAAACACTGAACACCTGCTTGGTCACACTCCACCTGGAGAATCTGATGAACTTTTCTGCCAACCTAGCATGCAGCTACAGGTGTGTGCCTCTGCAGTGACCATGCACACACATTTTTCTATACTGTTTCAGCTGAAGGTTCTTGGCCCTCTGAATGCCATCTAGGAGACTCTGGATTAAATCTTTAAAAAATACTTCCTTATACAGGTCTTCCCACTGATCCTCCTATCTCCTGGATTGCTCCGCCATCACACTTGTGATCTGCCTCCTGCCATAGCCCATAAGATCTACAAGGAGAGAGACCATCTCTGTATCCTTCAATGCTAGTTCCCACTGCCCAGTAGGGTTTTTGATTCAGCACATTGACCAAATTCTATTTGTAAAACTGAGAATTTATCAACTTTAAATAATGAGTTAAAGCATTTTCAAAGCACAAGCAAATTTTCTTTCCAATGCAAAGTAGCTATAAGACTATTATATAAAACTCAAGGGTGGGTTTCTTGGAAAGCCCTCAAATATCCTTAGTGGAGAAAAGCAGGCAAGAAGGAAAGTAGACGAATGAATAAGAGGACAAAGAGGAATTATGGTAATAAGAGTTGCTAAGTAAGAAGAGGGAAGAAAACATAAGGTTTATTAACTCAACTTGTCTCTATGTGTGAACAGTATGCTAAGATATTCAATGTGCTTTCATTTGACTTAAAAAATGGAAGAGTTATTCAAGGGAAGAGTTCTTATTACCATTTTGTAGGTTAGGAAATTGAGCGAGGTAAACATTTGTCATTTCTGTGGTTATACAGCATCCTGAGTTTAGGAGAAGAAATTGAGCATGATCAGCTGAGGCTTTTCTGGGATTTTTCTTTTCAGATCTGGTCTGCCTTAAGAAGATTTGAACTCTTTCTTAAATGTAAGTCTTATGTCTTCCTTGTTCAATACTTTATTCTCAGCAGTAGAAGTGTACCTGGCACATAATAGGTACTCAATATATATAGAAGAAAAGAAGAAACAAAGGAAGGGAGGGAGGGAGGGAAAAATGGGAGATGGAAGGAAGGGTGGGGGAAGAAGGAAGGAATTGAACAATTTCTGATGTCTGCCACATGGTACAGGTTCTGCCCAGAAAAGAGAGGCCTTCAGTTGACCAGTAATTTTGTCTAATGCAAGGGTGGAGTATGAATAAGCCCACTTGGCCACCAATTAAAAGTCCATTCTCTAATCAGCTCTAACAGTACTGATGATGGCATTATAACTCCAATTTGTTGACACCTAAAATCTCTTAACTGGCTCTGAATTCAGGAAGGGAAAGAGTTTATTGAGCTCCCAATGCCAACACTTTGTGCTCAAAGTTTCAACGGTGTCTCTAACCTCCTTTATAGCCTATTCTCTTTTATTTTTTGCAATGCCTGTTCCTGCCAAAATACACAATCCACTGTTTCACACACTCCTCACTCCAGTGTTTGCCTCATGGTGTTCTCTTTGCATGAAATTCCATTTCCCACTCTACTTCAGTATAACAAAATGCTACTCATAATTCATTTATTTGAATACAAAGGCCCAATGCAATTTTTACCACTCCCAAAACTCTTCCCAGATGCCCGCAGCTGAGGTAATCTTCCCTTCCTCTGAATTCTCAGCGCTACTTCTCTGTATCATTCTGATAGTGACCATCTCCTATTTGATTTACTTATATATCCTAAACCTTCCTGATATAACTTCTTCAAACAGAATCTGAAGGAATTGGTAGGAATAATAGCCTAAGACAAGAAAGGCATCCTTGTTGAAATCAGCCTGAGCAAAAAGTAAGACCCATGAATGTCTAACTCATGTTCATGTGGAGTGCAGGAAGCACAGGGGCATGTAATATAAGCTAAGAGCAGAAAAGGACACCGCACTAATCTAATTATACTAATTCTAATGACAACAGAAAGCCAACATAAGTCAGCATGGGAAAGAGACATAAACAGTAACATGGGCAAGCATTTATCAGGCTAAACAGATTCTTACATATTTGTCAAAATCTATTTCATTCACACATACCATTTGGGCTAAGACTTACTGAGTGATTGTTTTCTCTATTTCTTTTCTTAACTTCTTTTACAAATTAGGCCAAAAGTTTGAAGTAAGTTTAGTCTAGGTCTAGAATACCTATTCTGTATTTGAAAAGAGAGCCCATTTGTATACCTGAAATTGACCCAATTTAGGATATGGGCTCAATTTAAGTAAAATATTGCATCATATTAAATAAAAAAGTTCACTTATACTTCTCATGCTTCTTACCAAATACTACTTGCTTTTTCACAAAACTGTGACACCCTTTAATTACAAGATACCGTGTCCCTGGTTTTTCTAGACAACAATCCCTCCTTAGTGGGTACCTTTTCCCTACTTTTTTAACCTGACTGTGCCTAACAGTCTGAGTTTTACCCATTCCATAGTTAATTCTCCCAAGGACAGGCAAAGAATTGACTTTTTACAAGTTCACTTTAAAAAATGGCACTTCCTGAGACCCAGATTTCCCATTTGTCAATGAATTCCGAAGGGCTCCTTTCAGAGCAACAGCTTCTCAAAATGAGGAGATGAGGGAGGTGGTTGAGCAGTAGTTTTTTCTTCCTCTCATTCCCCCAAAAATGAATAATGAAAACCTGGCACAAAATCTCAGAATATCTGCTCATCTCTGTGTTGGGTAGAGTAAACCTACAAAGAAGGAAAATGGCAAGTGAGGGGAGAGTTTGAAGGCATAAAAAGAAAGAGTTAATAAATAGACCAAGGACTGAGACTGGAAAAGGAGACAATAATGGGCATGAAAGTAGATACACTTTGTTTTTGTTTCTGTTTTGGCTTTAAGGAGGAAAAATCCCATCTGGTACATGTTTATCTTCTATGTTTTCTAAGAGATTCTGAAATCTATGTCGCCATAAGGCCTTACACTATGATCAATGGATATTTGTTGATTTCATTTTAATTTCATTCAAATCAAGAATTGTACCCATAAATTCTCTCCATGCCCTTATAGGGGTAGAAAAGAGGAGTTTGAATCCTGGGTTCACCATGTACAAACTTTATCAAAGTTAATTAGCCACTTCCCAGGGTCGCAGCAAAGATTCAGTGAAATAACGTGCAGAAAGTGTCCAATGCCTGACATATATTAAGCACTCAACAAAACATAGTTACTGTTATTATTCTTGTTCTCATTTTCCTTCCAACTTCCCTGTCTTTAAAGAACACAGCCCCAGCCCTTTGACTGTGACACTATGGTTCCATAATTCTCAACCACCACACCTCAACACATCATTGTTGGGATCAGCAATGAGGTATGCCTCAACTAATGTGCTTATGATATAGAATAACTTCCAAAATTTTTGAATGGTTTTTTGGAAAATAAATGTTATTGAATTCCTATCCCTATAAAGCTATCCCCATGATAATATCACTCTTAGTCATTTACATTCCAGTGAGCTCTCAAGTAGGACCTTCTCCCCCAAACTTACTGCCGGCCCTAACCAATAAAGTCACATTTACTATATAAAGAGACTTAAGTCTCCATTCCTATTTAGAACTAAGATCTGAGTCTAAATCTGCATAAGCAAAAACTCACTAAGTTATTCTACTAAATAGAGGATTACAGGTCTATATCCCTCCAGCCAAAACATTGGCAGAGGCTTTAAAAGGACAGTTTTTTCTTTGACATGCTCAAATTAGGCAGGACCCTGCTCCCCATCACCCCCGCCTTCTCACTAGGTCTAAGGGAAAATGGGAACAGTACGATCAGCACGAGCCCTCCGTGTCTGTGGGCTTTTTCCATGCCTCCAAAAAACATCATCTTAAGAGGAGATTTGGAGTTTCATGAACAATTTCATGATATCTGTCTTCTGGGAGAATTGGAAACAGAAACTGAGCTGTAAATGCTAGACTGTCATGCCTGAGAGCAACTTCCATTTTCCATTCTGGATTGGTTTTAAAATATGGTATCATTCCCAGAACCTTTAAGAATAATTCAACTTTTACCTACCCACCCTCTCCCTTTGCTTTTAATCGTTCCCCCAAATCAGATGCCACGCAAGAGTTTAACATTCAAATCTGCCAAAAAATATAAAAAACTAGTGAGTACAAATCTGTTAAGAGTTAGAGACAGTTTATGGAAATACATATTTTAAGTACTCTGCATTAAAAAGAAAGAGCACATTATCTGAGACATGCCTCACTGGTGACCCCAACAACGATGTGTTGAGGCGTGGTGATTCAGAACTACAGAACTACACAGTATGACCATAGAGGGCTGGAGGTAATGGCTAAAAACAGGAAAGTGGGAAGGAAAATGAGAACTGCGAATAATAAAGTAAGTTTCATTGAGTGCTCACTTGCAAGTGAACATCATCTTGTTTTTGTTTGGAGTTGCTATCTTTAATATTTCAAGGAAATACAAGACCAGCAGAGGGAGTTGGTGACAAAGGGATTCATGCACCAAAGCAGAATCCGAAACCAATGTTGGTCTATAGTGGCTGAGGAATAAAGAAAGTAAATTCCAGCAGCTCCCGGAACATTCTGCTGAGGTTTTCACAGCATTTCAAGTTGCTTCAGAACAGCAAGGGAAACCTAGGGGGATCCCTCTGGGAGCAAACGAATAGAGAGGATATGCTACGCTGCTGTGAATGAGCTGTGAGAGGGCATAAATCCATAGGGCATTTCGCTCTGTTCAAGCAACCCATGATGGAATCACCAGGATTCTTCACATATAAATCCAGAGTAAGATTTTCCTTTAAAAGTAAGTAGGCTTTCACGGCCGGGCGCGGTGGCTCATGCCTGTAATCCCAGCACTTTGGGAGGCCGAGGCGGGCGGATCACGAGGTCAGGAGATCGAGACCATCCTGGCTAACACGGTAAAACCCCGTCTCTACTAAAAATACAAAAAATTAGCCGGGCGTGGTGGCGGGTGCCTGTAGTCCCAGCTACTCGGGAAGCTGAGGCAGGAGAATGGTGTGAACCCGGGAGGCGGAGCCTGCAGGGAGCCGAGATTGCGCCACTGCACTCCAGCCTGGGCAACAGAGCGAGACTTCGTCTCAAAAAAAAAAAAAAAGGAAGTAGGCTTTCAAGACTAGCCCTTATTGTTTGATGATATAAGGACCCCTGCAGAATGTCTTTCCAGGGTCCTTCTCATCCAGGAAATCAGAAATGTACACTACACTCTTCAGTAACCACCCATCGACCCTCGCCCCCCATGCTGTAAGGGTGGTTGAGTTATTTGATGATTAAATGAGAGTTGGATGCTACCTGACACCCTTGCAAATCAGAGTCCTCATACAACTAGCCTCGGTATAGTGACACTTTCAAAAGCAATAGGAACCTACTCTGAACACCAAAAAGAAGAATGCGGCTCTTCACTTCGGGTTTTCTTGAAGGGATAATGAGAATCTATATGCTGCTTCAAACAAATAAAACTTCCTTAAAATCTGCCTTAGACATCCTTCTCTTTCCTCTAAGGTTTCACACTCATGCTAGCTACAAAATCCCTCCCTCTCTCTCATGTAACGTTGCACACATTCGCTCTTTTTTTACCCTGTCCCCACCAGTTTGCTCTCTGTCCACCTACTCCATGCTCCCAACTTGGGAACTGCCAACTGCATGCAGTTCCAGAAAATTAAGAAGTCCACTCTCTCAGCCAAGCCTTTTCTCATCACTTTCATTGCAGTAAATTTATATTCAGAGTTATGCAATGACCCTAAGGTATAGTTAGATGAGTTTTGAAATGTGTATGTGCAATCAACACACCAATCAAAATAGAGAACATTTAAATCAGCCCAGAAGGCTTCCTTGTTCCTCCTCCCAGTCACTCCCACGCCCCTAAGCAACCACAGCTTTCATTTCTATCACCATAGATTAATTTTGCTCGTCCTTAACTTTACATAATGAGATCACACATGTGCTTTTTTGATTCTTTTTTCATTCAACATAAGTTTTTTGAGATTCATCCCTATTGTTTCATGTTTTAGTAGTATTCTATTAACTCTATACACCATAATTTATTTATCCATTCACCACGGACATCTGTTATTTCCATTTTGGAGTGACTATGAGTGAAGCTGCCATGAATATTATCGCATGAGTCTTTTTGCAGACATGTTTTCATTTTGGGGGGGTAAAAATCTAGGAGCAGAATTGGAGGGTCATAGGGTACCCATCTAACTGCTACAGAAACTACCAAAACACTTCTAAGTATTTTACCAGTAACATATGAGTTCCAGCTGCTGCTCCACATCCTCATCAACATTGGTGTTATCAGACTATATTCTTCCAATATGTAGCAGGCCTTTTTATTTTCTTAATGATGTCTTTTGATGAGCAAATTTTTTAAATTTTGATGAAGTTCAATTTTAGCAGTCTTCTTTTTCTTTTATGGTCTGGGCATTTTGTTTCCTCTCCAAGAAATACTTTTATCTCAAAAACTGCACTGTCTCAAAAGTGCCAATGGTGGCCAGGTGTGGTAGCTCACGCCTGTAATCCCAGCACTTTGGGAGGCCAAGGCGGGTGGATCACTTGAGGTCAGGAATTCAAGACCAGCCTGGTCAACGTGGTGAAACCCCATCTCTATTAAAAATACAAAAAATTATTCTGGCATGGTGGTGCGTGCCTATAGTCCCAGCTACTCGGGAAGCTGAGGCAAGAGAATCGCTTGAACCCAGGAGGTGGAGGTTGCAGTTAGCTGAGATCATGCAACTTCACTCCAGCCTGGGCAACTGAAAAGAAAAAGTGCAATGGTATTCTGCTGTGTTGTCTTCTAGAAGCTTTGAAGAAACTTTTAATCTTGGGTCTATAAGCAATCTCAAATTAATTTTCATGTACAGTGTGAGATTGTAAAGTTTTTCCCCAAACAGATGTCCAATCATTCCAGAATGATTTATTGAAAAGACTTTCTTTTTACCACTAAATTGCCCTGGTACCCTTGTCAAAACTCAATGTGAGGATATCTTTCTGCACTCTAATTCTGTTCCACTGAATTATTTGTCTTTCTTAATGCTTATTCTGCACTCTCTTGATTAATATAGCTTTATACAAGGTTTTAAATCAAGTAGGGAAAGTTCCCCATCTCCCAACCCCCAAATGTTTGGCTGTCCTAGATCCACTATATTACCATATAGATTTTAGAATCAACTCACAACTTTTATAAAATGAGCTTGTTGGAAATGTCAATTGGGACAGTGATAAAGGTATAGATCAATTTGGGAAGTAGTGACATCTTAAAAGTACTAAGTATACCATATTAGTCTGTTCTCACACTGCTAACAAAGACATACCTGAGACTGGTATACAGGAAGGAGGCTTAATGGACTCACAGTTCCACATGGATGGGGAGGCCTCACAATCAGGTCAGAAGGTGAATGAGGAGCAAAGTCCCATCTTACATGGCAGCAGGGACTTGCCTTGTCTCAAATGAGGGTTTGGACTTGGACTTCTGAGTTAATGCTAGAATAAGTTAAGACTTTGGGGAACTGTTGGGAAGGCGTGCTTTGTTTTGAAATGTGGGGACATGAGATTTGGGGTGGGGACACAGCCAAACATATACACTAATGCATGAACATTATATACCTCTCCATTTATTTAGATCTCCTTTATTTTCTCTCAGCAGAATTTTGTAGTTTCCAGTGTACAAGTCCTCGTGCATTTTATTAAATTTATTCTTAGTTATCTGATTTTTGATACTATTTAACAACTCAATTTTTAAAATTTCATTTACTACTTTTATGCTAACATATAGAAAAACAATTGCTTGTGGTATATTGACCTTGTATCCTCACATTTTGCTAAATTCACTTATTTGTAAATTATTATAGATTACTTAGGCTTTTCAACATAATCATGTCATCTGTGACTAAAGATTATTTTATTTTATCCTTTCCAATATTTTGCCTTTTATTTCTTTTCCTTGCCTTACTATTCTGACAAGGACCTTCATATTACAATACTGATTAGAAGTGGTGAGAAAAGCACATTTTTCTTTTTCCTAATCTTAGGAGGAAAGCATTTAGTGTTTCATGTAAGTATAAAATTAGCTATAAATTTTGGGTAGATGCCCTTATTAGGTCCTATTTTCAGTTTGTTGACAACTGTTTTATTTTAATCTCAAATAAGTGTTGTTTTTTCAAATACTTTTGCTGCATTTATTTAGATGATTATATAAATTTTTCTCTTTTTTTCTAGTAATGTGGCTAATTTACATTGATTTTCAAATGTTGAACCACTTATATTCCTGGGATAAACTCCGCCTGGTTTTATGATCCTTTTCATACATGATTGGATTTGATTTCCTAATATTTTACTGAGGATTTTTATGTCTATGTTCATTAGAGATACTGGCTGTAATTTTGTTTACCTGTAATGCTTTGATCATGTTGTGATATTAGGATGATCCTGGCCTTATAACATGAGTTGGGAAACATTCCGTCGCCCTATATTTTCTGAGTTTGTCTGACATTAGTACCAGTAAACTATTTGGGCCTGGTATTTCAAGGAAAAAGAGTGGGTAATTATTAAAAATTCTATGTCTTAAGTAGATACAGAGCTATTGTGATTTTTCATTTCTTTTTGTGTCAGTTTTGTAAACTTGGTTATTTGTCCATTTCATGTAAGTTGTCAAATTTACTGAAACAAGTTTACATACCCTTTTTAAGGTATGTGGGATCTGCCATTATATCCTCACTTTCATTCCTGCTATTAATAACTTATCTTCCCTCTCTTTTTTTCTTGATAATGCTTGCTACGGGCTTATCAATTTTATTAGTATTTTCAAAAAACTTTCATATGGTAATTTTCTCTAATATTTGTGTTCTACTTCATAGGATTTCCTCTTTGTAATTCTTTGCTTCTATTTTCTACCTTGCTCTGTCTTCTTTCTTTCTTCTTTTCTAATATAAATATGTAAAACATTTCCCTCTAATAATTATTTAACTGAAGTTCACAAATTTTTATATTGTATTTTTATTACCATTCAATTCAAAATATTTTCTAATTTCCATTTTAATTTCTTCTTTGACTCATGGATTATTTAGAGGAGTATTGATTGATTTTCAAATACTTGGGATGTTTTCTTCTTTCTAGAAATCCTATGGTTATTTATTTCTAATTTAATTCCATTATGATCACAGAACATAGTCTATGACTTCAATCCTTTAAGTGCATTGGTACTTTTTCATGGTCCAACACGTGATCTATGATGCTGAACATTCTATGTGTACTTGAAAACAATATGTTCTGCAACTGTTAGATAGAAAGTTCTGTAAATGCCAACTGTGTTAAGTGGAGGAAAGAGTTGTTCAAATCTATATTCTTGGATTTTTTGTTTGTACTTTTGCCTACTTGACCAATCAACTACTAAAGAAGGGTGTTAACATCTCTAATTTATGTGTTTTATTCTTTCTCCCTGCACTTTTATCAGATTTTTCCCCAAGTATTTTGAAGCTATTATTAGGTCCATGCGCATTTGGGTTTATTATGTCTCCAATGATTAATTGACCTTTTATGGTTATGAAATATCTTCCTTTATCTGTGGTAATAATTTTTGTCTTGAAGTCTACTTCATCTGAAAAGACAAAGCCACACCAGCTTTATCATGCTTATTGTCTAGGTAGTGTATTTGCTAACCTGTCATTCCCTGCTACATAATGTGTTTCCCCTACCTTCACTCACACCTCTACCCCCAGAGTCCACCCACTTTAAACATTTTCTCTTGGCATGGGCATGGTGGCTCATGCCTGTAATCCCAGCAGTTTGGGAGGCTGAGGTGGCTGGATCACCTGAGGTCAGGAGTTTGAGACCAGCTTGGCAAACATGGTGAAACCCCCTCTCCACTAAAAATACAAAAAAAATTAGCCAGGCCTGGTGGCGGTCACCTGTAATCCCATCTGCTCGGGAGGCAGAGGCAGGAAAATCGCTTGAACCTGGGAGGTTGAGGTTGCAAGTGAGCTGAGATCACGCCATTGCACTCCATCCTGGGCAACAGAGCAAAACTCCATCTCAAAATAAATAAATAAATAAAAATAAAAAATAAAATTTTATCTTTATCTTTGTTTGGTTTTTCAGCAGTTTGAGGATGATTTGCTGAAGTGTATTTTTCCTTTTATTTTCCCTGTTTGGGATTTGCTAATGTTCCTAGATATGGACACTGATTTTTTTTCCCAAATTTGGGAGATTATTAGCCCTTATTGATTCATATTTATTCATATATATATATATATATTTTCATTGCTCCATTCACTCTCTTCTCCCTAAGGGATGCCAATTATATGTAAGATAGACTTCTAAATATTGTGCCAGAGTTTACTAATGCTTTAAAAATATTTTTTAAATCTTTTTTCTTTTCATTCTACAGATTAGACTTATTTCAGATATTATCCTTTTCATTTCTGAATTTCCTTAGCTAATTTTCATAGTTTTTATTTTCTACTGTCATTCCCACATATTCTCTCATTAGAAACATGCTGTCCTTTAAGTCCTCGAACACATTTTTTAGCAGCTGTTTAAAAGTCCTTGTCTGCTAAATCTAACCTTTGTGTCAACTTGGGTTATTTCTCAGGGTTTGATGTTGGGTCACACAGTTTCATGCTTCTTAACATGTCTCGTAAGTTTTTTTTATTGTATGCTGAATATTGTGAGTGATACATTGTAAATAGCCTGAATTATGTTGTCTCCCTTTAAAGAGTTGACATTTTGTCCTTAGGGGATAGCCCTTGCTTGAAGGCATAATCCTTATTGCTAAGGTGTGGGTTTTCTGTAATCTCAAAAGAATGCCCAAGTTGTACAGCGAATCTCTTCACCTCTGTCATGGAAAACCAATTATCTCCTAGCACTGGATGAACTCTGGCTTCTCCATGTCAGCTCTCTTCCCAACTGCATCTGTTCTCTGCTGCACCTCAGAGTCTGGGCCAGCATATGCACAGCCCAGGCCTAGGCCATGGTCCTATGGTAAACACCCACGCAGATTCTCAGAACTTCCCTCTAAGCAACTTCCTTTTCTCTAGCACTCTACCCACAAAGCTTAGCAGCCCTCAAGTCCCAATCACTGCCTCTCAGTTCAGCAAGAACACTGCTCCTCAAACTATGCCTCATTTTGCTGCAATTAGAAAGGCGCCCTGAATCAAAGTGCCAGGGCCAACAAAGGTATCATTCCTGTTCTCTTCTCTCAAGAATCCCAGTCCTGCTCTGCCTATTGTCCAACACCTGAAAACATCTGTCTCATATATTCTGTCTGATTTTATAGTTGTTTATGGTGGGAGGACAAGTCCAGTATTGGCTACTCTGTTGTAGCTCGAAGTGCAAATGATATAGCTCTTATTGTTTTTCTTGTGAAAATCAACCCCACCCAAGAATGTTAATGACTAAATTCCTTCATCTCATTACATCTTACTCCAGGAAAGTTTTTTGGAATCCTGACAAATCTATTACACAGTTTTCTCTCAGAGGACTTACATGTTATATGTACTTGTGGAAAGAAAATCTCTTCTGACTTGCAGCATAGATCCTACCTTCCTTTCTTCTTTTGCTATTGTGTTGGACAACATTGTCAATTTCCCAATGGCATCTGACTGTATATCCCACAGTTTCTTCCAACAAATCTTGGGACTGAGACATAAGTGACTGCGTTGGAAAGGAAGTTATCAGCATCATGTTCCAATCTTCCCCTCCTTGGGGTCTCTCTCACAAAAGAAAAAAGATGCCACATCTATCAATCATTTTCCTCATGAATGCAGTGAGATACCAAATACTGCAAGAACTATGAAAGCAGCCACCCTCCCAAGTTCTAGGCAATCCTGAGACTGTCCCACACATACTGGTGTCTGCAATGAGTCAAAGAATAAATGCTCACAAAAATCTGTTTTATGGCAACATGAGGGAGGACAGGATACACAAGGAAATGCCCAAATTCTGGGACTCAGGCATCTTTCGCTTGGGATTGAGGGCTCTCTAGCTGCTTCACCATCATGGGGATTTTCTTACTTGTTACAAATCTGGCTTTAGAAGGTTGAGTCATATGGACCTTAACTTCTATTTCTCCCAGGTATCTTGTATACGATCTCTGTTAATTTGCTATTGAAAGGTTTCTATGTTCTCCTCCTTTTTTATATCAACCCCAACTTGCTTAACCAAGAGCAAAAACTTGGAGCCTCTCAGGTATGTGGTGGAGGCAGAGGTTATGTGTTAACTCTGAACTATTGCATAGCCCTCATCCAAGTAGACATTCCAAGCTGAACATACACATAAAACCTTTTCTTTTTCTTGTGACAGGAAGTCCTACTTTTTTCTAAATCCCAGGACTGCTCTGCCTTTCCACATACTTGTTTTAAAGTAGTCACACATTTCACCAGAAACAAAGTCCTGGTTGCTTTCTGTCACAGCTGAGAGCACTGACTCTGAAAATCCCCCACTATGCCAGTGAGGTGCCCCACACAACCCTGAGACTCTCCCCCTCAGTCTTGGTACAGTGCTTCCCATAAGTTCCTGCAGGGTCTGGGAGGGTGCAGTTGCACCAGTGCTTGCAAATATCTGCTTAATGGCAAACTCCACAGTGGCAGTCCCTGGGAAACCATTTTCTATTGGTAGGTCAGAGCAAAAGCCCTGCATAAAGATATGCATTCCCTTTACTAAATCCTGCATTTTCTCTTTTTTCATGACCCCTTTCCTCCTCATCTCCTTACAAATGCAAAAGTTTCTATAACTAGACCCTCCCTGCTGCTCCTCCCACCCACCCCAAGTACCGTCCACCTCTCACCCTCAGACTGCCCATGTCATGGAAAGTTTCTCTGGGTTTCTGCTCAAATAGTATCTTTCATCTCTGTACGTATTTGATATGGAATTAACCTTAGAAAACAAGTTTAAGAATGAGAAAGTTAATACTAATATAACTTTAAAATTAACTTCTCAATACCTATGTTCCAGAATTTTAGTGATAAAAATGCAAATTTAAAACACTTCTCTCATGTGTGAAATACATTCAGCCAGATCATTTTAAAATTACATTAATCATATTATCTCATTTGTCACTCAATGATTACTCTGATTTAAATATTATGATGGTGCCAGAGCTATATTTAATGAGCAAATTTAATAAGAATAGCACTGAAACTCTATCCAAGAAGCTTAATAGTCCTTGAGGAAAACTTTCATAGGAGATCAATCTATAATTTGTATATGTTGACCACGGAAAATAAAATGTACTGGCTTTTCCTAAAATAGGCCATCATTATTTTGTATATAACTTATTTTTTAATTTAATAGTTTAAAGTTAAAAAGGAAAGATTTAAGAATTATGAGAGGAAAGGTCAAATGCAATAAAGCAAGATAGCCAACTAGAAGCCCTTAGCACTCATTCCCACACAAATACAGCCAAAACAAAAAATAAACAACTACATATTGATGAAAATAACTAAAGGAGAGTGCTGGAGTACATCAAAGGAATAGCAAAAACCCTGTGGAGCACAGTAACCTACGACAGACACAAAGAAAAGAGAAGAAAACATCTGGCCTCCACCACCCCATCACCCAGTTGGGATCAGCTTGGAACTAGGAGGTACTTTTTTTTGCGGAGAAAAAGTAAGCAAGGGGACCCCAGCAGTCCTCATCACCACTTTTGACACCTACAGACCTCACCACTGGGAACATCTGAGGTTCTCACAGAGGCTAAGCCCAGATGAGTGAGCTGCGTGGAGTTCCCCTGGGGAGATGATGCCTTGGATGCCCAGAGCAGTCACACAAAATGGGCCTGAGATAAAGGAGCTCATCATCTCCTGTGGAATCAGTGCCTTGGACAAGCCAAGCAGTCAAGCATCTCAGGACTAAGCTGACGTGGAGCCCCATGTCCTAGAGAAACCGAGCATTGGCTGAGCTCAGACACCTAGTCCTACAGGCCAAGTGACCGCAGTACCCTGTTTCCCTGGAAGTGGAGTAGAGTCTGGGCTGCTGAGTCCAGGGAGTGGAGTCATTACTGTGTTGCCCCTGCCTCCCAGGGCCCAAGTGACAGCTATGCTCCACCATTCCAGAGTCCTTGCTGCTGCCATACTTGACCCCACAGAATCTGAGATACTGCCATGTCCCATCATCCCAGGGTCCAGAGTCACCATTATGCAGTGTCTTATCTTCTGGGGCCTGAGTTTCCACTGTGCCTTATTGGTTCTGGTTCCTAAATTGTGATTGTACCCTGTTCACCGAACTCAAACCTCCAGAGAATCTCTTCTTTCCCAGAGACAGGCCAGTACCGTGCTCTGTCCCCAAGGGTCAGCTACAACCTGGCCTCCTGAGCCTGAGCTGACAGGGGATTCCTCAGAGTAACAGATCCCAACGTTGTGGGTAATCTTCATCCAAACATGCCTTGGAGACTCACCCTGTACCCCAAGACCCTGGTGCCACAATAGGCTCATAAGCTCCTGAGCACAGGACTCTGGCTCCACAGCCACTCTGAGCATTTGTGTCCTGGAACCCAGCACCAATGCCGTTGCTTAAGGGTCATGTCAGACATGACACCAAGAGGGATCCCCTCAACTAAGATTACCCATTATAGGGAAAACAAGAAGAAAAGGTCCCAAAAGCCCTCACCTCTGAGGACCCTAACAACCTATGCTCTTGCCACCACTGCCACAAACTCCTGTAGCCTAGCCCACTGAAACACCATAGTCATCACTGACATTGATTGCAGCTGAAGAACCTGCACAGATGCTATACCACTGCATCTACTTGGAACCAAAGTCATCACACCCTTCCCAACTGGCACACTAAGACCCACCTGTAGTGAAAGTTTTTCCTTACAAAAGCCACTCCGTAAAGTTTGGAAGAAGTGATTATTCCACCAGATGCTCAGCCAGCAATGCAGGGCCACAAAAGAATGAAAAAGCAAGGAAACATGATACCACCAAAAGAACACAATGTCTAGTAACTGACCCCAAAGAAAAGTAAATTTATAAATTGCCTGAAAAAAAATTTAAAATAATAATCTTAAGGAAACTCAGCAACATACAAGAGAATACAGATAGAAAATTCAATAAAATCAAGAAAAAAATTGATTACTTTAATGAGAAATTCAGCAAAGAGATGGATATCATACAAAAGAACCAAGCAGAAATCTTGAAGCTGAAACATTCAACGAATAATATAAGAAATAAAATAGAGAATTTCAACAGTAGACTACATCAAGAAGAAAAAAGAATCTCTAAACTTCAAGATAGGTATTTTGAAAATACCCAGAGGGCAAAAAAAAAAAAAAAAGAAAATATAATGAAAAAGAGTGAAGACAGCTGGGCACGGTGGCTCACACCTGTAATCCCAGTACTTTGACAGAGCAAGACTCCATCTCAAAAAAAAAAAAAAAAAAAAAAAAAAATGAAGGCAGCCTATGGGACTCATGGGACACCAATAAGCAAACAGACATTCACATTATAAGAGTTGCAGAAAGAGAAGAGAAAAAGATAGGGACAGAAGCTTATTTAATGAAATAATTCCCAGAAGTTTCTTAAGTCTTAGAAGAGATACAGACATTGACATCCATGAAGTTCAAAAGTCTCCAAATAGATTCAATAGTTCAAAGGGGTGTTCTCTGAAGCACATTATAATTAACCAGTCAAAAATCAAAGACAAAGAATTTTTAAAGCAGCAAGAGAAGTGTCAAGTATTGACATATATAGGAATCCCCACTAGACTACTAGTGAATTTCCAGCAGTAACCTTGCAGACCAGGAGAGAATGAGATGTTATACGCAAAATGCTACAAGGAAAAACAACAAAAACTGTCAGTCAAGAATACTATACACAGGAAATACGTCCTTCAGAAATGATGGAGGAGATCCTGCCATTTGCTATAAATGCCATTTGCTATAAACCTGGAGAACATTATGCTAAATCAAAGAAGTCAGACACAGAAAGAAAAATATTGCATGATCTCACTTATATGCAAAATCCTTTTTTAAAAGGTCAAATACATAGTGATAGAGAATAAAACAGTGGTTATCAGGGTAGAATAGGGATGGGTTATCAGGTAGAAATAAGGAGATGTAGGTCAAAGAATACAAAGTAGCAAATAAAAAGAATAAACAAGTCTGGGGCGGGGCACTGTGGCTCATTCCTATAATCCCAGTACTTTGGGAGGCCGAGGTGGGTGGATCACAAGGACAGGAGTTCAAGACCAGCCTGGTCAATATGGTGAAACCCTGTCTCTTCTAAAAATACAAAAATTAGCCAGGTGTGGTGGCGCGTGCCTGTAGTCCCAGCTACTCGGGAGGCTGAGGCAGAAGAATCGCTTGAACCTGGGAGGCAGAGGTTGCAATAAGCCAAGATTATACCACTGACTCCAGCCTCAGTGACAGAGACTCCCTCTCAAAAAAAAAAGAAAAGAATAAACAAGTCTGAACAAGTCAAAAGACCTAATCTACAACACAAGCTATAGTTAATAACAGTGTATTATATTCAGGATATTTGCTAAATGAGTAGATTATAGCTGCTCTTGCCACCAGGTGAAGGGAAATGGATAACTATGTGAGATGATGAATGTTAATTTGTTCCACTACAGTAACAATTTTACTATATACAGTATATGTATCATATAACATCATGCTGTACACCTTACATATACAAAATACATTTTATTTTTCTAAAAAAGCCTGAAGGTTTTATTTATAGAAATAAAGAAAACACAATTTATTTAGTGTAAAAACACAGAATTATTCTTACATGCAATTGACCCAATTAACATTTTATAATGTAATGTTTATGGGTTTACTTTCAGAGGAATAGAGTTTAATATAGGGCTTAAATAATTTTTAAAAACTGAATTCTATGTACTAATTTACTGTATCATGCATTCTCAAATATGAAATAAATTTGATTTGGTTTAATTATAAGAAGAAAGATAGTTATAAGGGAAATACAGTTCCCAAAGAGAGAGAGAAAAAAAGCACAAAATTGCTAAGATCTCTTTTTCCAAGTGAATTCTCTCTTGTCAACATTGGGAATAAAGAGAAACCTCTGCATGTCTCTAAAGAAGCATCTCTCTGAGCGCAGAGCAAAATCTTCTTTCTCACCTCCTCTGTAGACGACCCAACAACGTTTTACCCCCATCAATTTCAGCATGTCCTCAAGCTGAGCCTTCAGAGTGAGTAATCCTCTTTTCAGTCTAGCTGCCTTTCTCATCCCCACCATCAAGACATTTGGAATTCCAGAAAAAGAGGAAGAGAAGGAAATGTTTCCACTGAGTGGAAGGATATCACTCTGGACCCAAACTCAATTTCAATGGGTCCCTCACCGAGAAAATGTTCCTCATCCATAATATACGCAAAACTGAAATCTTATTCACACTTGATAAGCAGTAGGTTGTCCAGTCAATTTAATATTTCAGCAAACGAGCACTTTTGAAACAATCAAACATAGCTTTATAGGACTAAAATGTGGGAGATCATTTCAGTAATCCCTTCTTCTAAGCTTTTCATACGTTCTTCCTAAGACAAACCAAGTCTCCTTGAATAAGAATAGTATCTGGCATATAACAAATGTTCACATAAGTGTTTGTATTATTATTACCTTGTTGAATTACTGAAAAACCCTGTGGAATGCTGAAATTCTAACTAAACTCCCTGATAAAGTAGAAAACATGGTCTTGTTCGACACAGTGACATACTGCTTACTTATTGCAACTATGCAAATCATGGGCGCTCAATAAATTTTTGTTGAAAAGCACAGAAGTAAGAAGAGAGGAGAAAGAGAAATAGAGAGGAAAAGGAAGAGGAGGAGGAAGGAAGGAAGCTACCCAGCATTGACAGACATAATCTTTACACTGGTAGGGAGGTTAGAAGAGAGCAGGCTTATTTTTAATTACAAGTCTGATTCTGAAAGGATTATAGAAACATCCAACCACTGGAGCCAATTTATTTCTAAAACATGTCCTATCTGTGCACTTTGGCCCATGACATTTTGTATTCCTGGCATGCTTCCTTCTTCCTTTCCAACTATTAACAATCTATCCATTCCTTAAGCCCAATTTCAATTATACTCACTCCATTAAATGTTTCCTCTTCTTCCAAAGTAGAAGCAATCTTTTCCTGTTCTCAAATGTTAAGAGTTATGGTGTAGATGAACACCACTTTTTGTCACCTATATCCAGTTCTATATTGCTACTTATATTTTCATGAATTTATTTTTGATCACCTTAAATAAACTGTCAGCATCTTTGAGACATTGCATTTTAGATCATCAAGAAATGCAAGTTTTATATAACATCTCATTTCTCTCTGATGCTGGATATCTCCAGGTGGCTCCAGAGCCACATGCTCCACCTTTCTCCCACTTGATCTGTGTCCCAGAAGGCTGACCTGTAGGGATGGATTATGTCATCAGCTCCCTTACCATCTGACTTCCAGTAGGTTAGGCCAATGGGGGAGCCAGTGAGTTTGGGTACTTACTTCTCCAGTTCCTTCCCTGCAGAAACCCAAGGGCTGGCTGAGGCCCTCACTGAAGGTCAGAACCCCTATAAGATGGCCCTCCTTACCTGGCCTCCCTGTCCTTCACATAACTGTGCCCTCCACTTTAGGGTTTACTTCTGTTACTAACCCCAAAGCACTGCATTACTTTATAGCTTCCTACCATGCCCTTACCCTTACCCTTGTAAACAGAACTTTTATTAAACTTTTCTTAAATTATACTAATTTGCATGCTCTGTCTTCTTGAGACCCTGGTTAATATATCTGCTTTATTTTCCTTCTTGTACTTAAGATCTAAAATAATCTTATTCATTTATTTGCTTACTGGGGTTTATTATCAAGACTCTTCTCCTCCCTACAAAAAAATAACAATAAATTCCATATGGCAGGCCTTTTTTCTTATTCACCACTATCTCCTCAGCTTCTAGAATAGGGCAGATAGAGGGCAAACAGTCAATAAATATTTCTTGAAGAAATAAATCAAATAAATCAATTATATATATATATATATAGAGAGAGAGAGATATAGATATATGTTCCAATTCAGAGTGATATCTCTTTATGTTTAGAAGAAGATTCGAAAACACTAGCTCAGTTACTAATCTACTTTTTCAAGATTTAAAACAAAGTACTAACTCAGAGCTTAAATCTAGCATTTCTTTAAACCCAATCAAAACACAAAATGCTTAACACTATAAATTATCCTCCTAGGTTGAGTTTCTAACATTAAAGGAAGCAAAGCAGAAAATTCCCAGAGAGTATAATATAAAGTGAAGACAAAAAATATCTCCATACAGCTTTCTTTTTTTTTTTTTTTTTTTTTTTTGGCCAAGGGACATATGATAACTGCCAAAAATTAGGCCGTAATTCAAGAAGCATTCCTGACATCATTGTACACTTGTTTCTCTACTCAAAACACAAATTTATCACTAACTGTCACTGGACTGCTATCCAACTACAACTTCCCCATCTCATGCATAAAACTATGCTTTTAAAGTACTAAAACATTAATACCCACCAAGATGGGGGATAGGCCTTTTCTTACATGAATATGTAAAAGTTGATTTAGGTATTCGTGATAGAGAAGTGAAAGGAAAGACTGAAAATGAGACCTTGCTCACCTCTTTCCTAAATGGGATACTGCAGGTTATAAGGAAAATCAAGAGTGGACAGAGAAAAGGGAGTTTAGAATGATCTGAACCTGTGTTGGCAGTCATGCCATTGGGGAACACAGCCATTCAACAGTGGAAGTACTTGCCTTCCTTGACAGCTGCTAAGAAGGTGATGCCGCGGCTACAGCTCCCAGATGAGCTCATGTGGGTATGGCAAAAGGTTCACCCCTGTAACATACTGTCCTCTTTAGCAGCTGTTCAACTGCCTAACACATGGCTATTTTCTCTGCCTAAATCAGTATCATTTAGTTATACTACTGAAGACCGGGAGGGACCTGATATAACTGATGCTATTTGCAAATTAATAGATGAGGGAACTAACCATAAAAATTTTTTCAGAAATCTGATACTAATTTGAACAGTATTTTCAATCAATTACAAGGATTCATTTCTAATCTTCTCTCAAATATTGATGAAACATTTCATAATTTGTTTTGACTTATACATAGATTTAATTGCATATACATTTAATTGGAGCCCATGACTCATTAGCAATAGAATTTCCTAACTTGCTCCAAATTTTCAGTAGCCTCAGGTTTCCCAGAGACCCAGCCTTTCTCAGTTGCCATGGATTTCCTGCCTCTGGGGGTGCCACCACATTATTACTTAGAGGCATTCCTACTCCTAAATCTGCTCTTGAATGAGCTGGCATTTGACAGAATTCCTCCTTTTTGGAGAAGCAACCAGAGGCAGTCTGAGATTATTCAGATATTTATCTTTGACTTCCGGTACTGGGGGAAAGACAGAAAGACTTAGCTAAAGAATCTCAAGTAAGCCTGACCTTGGGTACTGGAGACCTAAAGCTACGGTATCTCCAGGTCCCGAGCGTCAGTAAGATGGAGCTAATTAGGAGGAAACCGAGGTCGGTGAGGAAAATGACTATGAGATCAGATTCAGCCCAAAGCGTGGCCAGGAATCAGCTCCACCCAGAGGTCTCCAAAAAGTGGCAGAACACTCTGAGTTTTCTCCAAGGGAATTGATGGACAGACTTGTAGGAAGAAAACATAAATTCACTTAAATAAGTTTTTTACCTCTTCCATTTTATTATTTTTTAAATATTTTTATCTTATATATTTTAAATTCATATTTTATCTTCTATATTCATTTTTATTTCATGTATACATTCACATTTATACACCTGTATACAAAATTCTTGCACGTGGTTTATAAGGAAATAAACATATACTGGAGATGAGTACTCAAAACTTTTATTAATAGGTACATTCAGTCCAAAAAGTTTGAAGGCTGATGCAGTAGAACTGAGATGAGCACAAGAGAAGGGGTAGGAAGAGGGCGCTAAGTCAAATGGTCATGATCAGCTGTCTGAAAGTTGGGGAGATCCCACAGGAAGAGAGCCCAGAGACGGGGGACAGGATAGGCCCCGAGGACAGCCTGGAAGGAGGGTCCACACCAGAAACAGAGGAGCACAGCTGCATCAGCCCCGTCTTCTATTTCCTGCCAGAGGGACGCAGTTGACCTCACAGCGCCCCCACCTCGCATCCCAGGATCATTAGCAGCTGACAGCGCAGGGAGGCTGTGTTTATCCAACATCTTTTCTTTTTCTTTTCCTTCAGGCCTCTGGTGTTATTCCCCACCCGACGAGGAATACGTCTTCCTTCTGTTATTAAATCTTCAGGCTCCCTGAGTCCTGCTCCTATTGTTTCCTCTTTTGTGCCATCTGATCCTCCAAACACCTTGTCCTAGGCTCTAGCCGGACATTTCTGACATCTCAAGACTTGAGACTTTGATTTCTGAGCCCCTCAGATCACACGGTAACTCCACCCACTTTCCTAAGCAACCAACTTGGTACCACAGAAGAGGAACTGGGGAAAATCAAACTGAATAAAAACACTTATAAATAAGCTAGTTTCCCCCTGTGTAACAGCACGGTTTCCCCGGTGCTGCTTGTTTAAATCTCCGAGCTGGCGGCGCCAGGCAGGAAAGTGTCTGCTCCAGCTCCTCGCTGCACCTTCCTCACATAATCTTGGCGAACGTTCACATTTCCAGTCAGCGTGGCTCATTTTATTTCCCAGATGTTTTTACACTCCGAGGCCAAAACTAACACGAAATCGCTCCTTTCCTGTCACCCCCGGCCTCTGTCTGTCCCCGTCACTCCCGTCCTCCCATTACCCTCTCCCAGCTGCAGGGATCACGGACGCCAAGCGGCACTATTTTACTAGGAGCTGCAACTACAACCACAGGATCGCGGCGGGGTCGCCCTCTGTGAGAAGCCACACAAACGCGAATCACATGGCTAAAACCACACAAAAACCACCTGTCACCACCTCAGGCCGGTCCCGAGTGTGTGTGTGTGTGTGTGTGTGTGTGTGTGTGTGTGTGTGTGTGTGAGAGAGAGAGAGAGAGAGAGAGAGAGAGAGAGAGAGAGAGAGAGAGACCAGTCAGGGGAACTGGGAGTCATTCTTCCCGTTTACAGTGCAGACTCCCAAGTGCACTGTGAGCACATTTTTGACAGTTTAATGTTCAGGATTAGTAGCCTTACCAGACTTCCTTGGCCAAATTCAAGAACTATTTCCATTTAAGCCAAAGCACTTTGTTATTACTCAACAGTTGTTTTAATTAACTCCCTCAGAGCAACTGTGGCCCCAATAAGCTGCTTCAAGGGAGGGATCTCACGATATTTTTTGACCTCACACGAGAAAAACCTACAAACATTAGTAGTGGACTGGTTAATCTGAGCTGTTTCAGAAATCAAATTGTTTTATGCACTATTTGGGACATGATTATACTAAAAACAAAACAAAAAACTATTCATTGTTTATCTGAAATTCAGATTTCACTGAGCACCCTTTTTCTTTGCTAAACTGAACAATCCTAACATGGCCAGGGGGAAAAAAGTGTCCTGGTTCTGTGAGAATCAGTGTTGTCTTAGGAAGACCTGGAAAACAAAACATAAAATCCTTCTAATAGCAGAAACTATCTTAAAAATCAACTAGGCTTTCAATTCTCTTTCTATATTCTACTACCAGAATATGGTATTTTCTCAACTTTCAGAGAACAAACTAAGTTAATTAAAATTTCTCAATGTTAAGCTTTTTTTCCCAATATTTTTTCTAACCATTTCATCTTTGCTTATTTGCCAGCAAACACCAGTGGATGTCAGAAAAAGTGAACAATCCTTAAATGATATTAGTAGGAAAAATGACCTACCCATTCTTAGTTTGGAAGGTTGCCTTTTTCTGAACAAATATTCTTATTTTTGTAACATTTATATTATATGGTCAAATTTCTGTCGTACAATTATTTCTAGTTAATACAATAATTTTAAATGCACCTGTAGGTCATGGTATTCTTCTAGGGATATAGTTATCAGAATAAATGTGAAAACCAGCAAATAATTGCATGTATTTCTTTCATATTACATATGTAGAACCCGAGGCTCAGAAAACCCATGAATGTGCCCAGAGTTAGGCACATGGCCCCGCTGTATCAGCACTAACGCCAGGTGTCTCAGTGCCCAGCTCACTACCTGATTAAAAACAGGACACTACTTTTCAAATGGCAGAAGCCCCTTGCAAGGTGTCGCCAGCTGAGAGTGCCTTTAATCCACTCACTAAGACTCCCTTTTCCTCTTCCACCATTTAGAAAGGATGATTATCACACCACTGCAGCTAAAACATAAAAGAACATATCAAAGGAATTTGTAAAGTATTTATTAAAAACATTTATTTCAGAAGAGCCAATGTAACAAAATTTTGCTATTGCAAAATTGACACAAAATGCCAGTTGTTCTCCCCTTTTAGATCCATGCACTCTTTTTAGTTAAGCATTTTGTAATATCTCCTTTTCTACCCTGATATAAATTTTTTATGACATCGATATAATGTCCTAGCTATAATATAAAGGGAAAATAAAAGTGATTCATAGTAAAATATCATGTATTTCAATATGTAATTATGTAGGTATGACTACAATAGGAAACACAATGAGATAGATATTTGCACATATTTTTAATGAGTAAGTTTGGAGTTATGAGAAGACACCATTCCATAAGCTTTTGTACATATTTTACAATTTGAAATAAGGACTAAATAAAGCTGTATGCATAGAAAAACAGCATGAATGCTGAACATGAATGAATGCTTCATATTTGACATTTTAAAAGAAAAAACAAGCCTATATGCATGTGTATGTGTGCATGTGGGTGCACATGCAAACACACATGCAATCAGCATGAATGTAATAGCTACAAAAATAGGCCTCCTGAGTAGGTGACTCAATTTAATAGGCAATGCTGCCATCAGTGACGCATTTTGCAAAATGGTAAAGTTACAAATAAAGTTTCATCTTACCTCAGTTTACTTAGTAGTTGTATTCTTGGGTAATTCAAAGTATATAAAGTCAGCACAAAAATTATTTTGTGTGTTTATACAGAAAATAGAGTAAGGTTCTGGACTTACGTAGGTTATTATAAGCAGGTTTTTCACCTGCTTGGATATCAAACTACTCATTCAAAATTTATGAGGAACTCAAGCAACTTTTACATTGTGTGAAAAATGAGATGCAGCAATTATATTTTAAAAATGCTACTTTGTGAGGCTGAGGCGGGTGGATCACCTGAGGTCAGGAGTTCAAGACCAGCCTGGCCAATGTGGTGAAACCCCATCTCTACTAAAAATACAAAAGTTAGCCGGGTGTGGTGGTGGGCACCTGTAATCCCAGCTACTTGGGAGGCTGAGGCAGGAGAATCGTTGAACCTGGAAGGCGGAGGTTGCAGTGAGCCGAGATCACACCATTGCATTCCAGCCTGGGCAAAAGAAACGAAACTCCATCTCAAAAAAAAAAAAAAAAAAAAAAAAGCTGGATGCCATTACGAAGGATGTGCAGGACACTAAAGGAATATAGAGGAAAGGAGTCATCTAAGTCCATATGAAGATGGTGAAGAAGGTTTCCAGGACAGAAAGCAGGGTGATGCTAGAACTAAATGTTTGAACTAGAACAAGACCAAAAAAAAAAAAAAAGCCAGAGAAGAACGTATGAGTGGACAAGGATTGGGGCATGAGGGACTGTGGTGTGTAGGGGGAAGTGGACATATATAGGCAGGGAGGAGATGATGAAAAATCAGAGTATATCCTGGAGTCCTTCAAGCTGGAGTGACATCCAGTTTGCATTTAAGAACATCCTTTTTGGTAGCAGTACAGAATGGTTTCTAAGAAGGTAAATTAGATAAGTTAGGAGATTGTTAGTTTAACACAGGTAGAAATAGTCAAGGCTTAAAATAACAGCCATGGGGGCTGACTGAACAGGGCAGACTTGACATATATTTAGAGGTAGATTTGATGGGCTGGGGAGACCAGATGGAGAGAAGAAGTGAGAAAAAAAAGGAGTCAGAGTTCTCCAGAGAAACAGAACCGATGGGAGACAGACAGACAGATAGATAGATAGATAGATAGATAGATAGATAGATAGATAGATAGATAGATAGATACGTACGTACATACATACATACATAGATGGATGTGAGAGAATTTATCACGGGAATTGGCTCACACAGTTATAGAAGCCAAGAAGTTCCACAATGTGCTATCTGCAAGCTGGAAAACCAAGGAAGAGAATGGCATACCTCAGTACGTGTCCAAAACCCTGAGAACCAGAGAAGACAATGATGTAACTCTCAGTCCAAAGCCAAAGGCCTGAGATTTGGGGCAGGACACTAGTACAAGTCCCAGAGTCTAAAGACTGGAAAACCTGGAGTTCTGATGTCTACAGGCAGGAGAAGATAGTCCCAGCCCCAGGAGAGTCAGTGAATTCACCTTTCTTCTGCTTTTTTGCTCTATCTGGGCCCTCAACTGATGGGATAGTGCCCACTCACATTGGATGAGGGCAGATCTTCCTTACTCGGTCCACTGATTCAAATGCAATCTCTTTCAGAAACACTCTCACAGCCATACCCAGAAGTAATGTTTTTCCAGATACCTGGGTATCCCTTAACCCAGTCAAGCTGACACCTAAAATTAACCATCACACCCTCATAGTAGGACAATTGTAGAGGACTGGTAGCTATGCAGGGAAGATACTCTTTTGGCATGAGTGGATGGTGCATACTAACTAAACTAGTAATTACCAAATTACTAGTGCCTACTTGTAACCTGGTAATTACTACTACTGCATATAATATATACACTACCATCATTGGAAAAAAAAGGCTCAGAAGTCACACTCACTGACAGTGATTTGAATAACACAATTCAGCAATTTTTGTTGACATAGATGCTATGATAGGTATTATCTAGATACTGGGGAAGCATAGTGAAGAAGACTCAAAATGCAGCTTTATGGAACTTTAGCTACATAGAGGACTTATAGAAAGTATCCTGAGAGCAGAAACTGGTTTTCATTGATATAATCCTAGTTGTAGCATATTGCCTAACAAAAAGTAAAAGGTCAGGAAATATTTATAATATAAAATACTTCATTAAGCATCGAAATACTTTATTAAAGAATCACTCCTTTGCAGTCTGAAAGTTTCCTCTCTTTATTAGACCCTTCTCATCTGTGTTAATTTAATTTAATTTAATTTAATTTAATTTATTTATTTGAGAAAAGTCTCACTCTGTCACCCAGGCTGGAGTGCAATGGCATGATCCCGGCTCACTGCAACCTCTGCCTCCGTGGTTTAAGCGATTCTCCTGCCTCAGCCTCCTGAGTAGCTGGGATTACAGGTGCCAGCCACCATGTCTGGCTAATTTTTGTATTTTTAGTAGAGACAGGGTTTCTCTATGTTGGCCAGGCTGGTCTCGAACTCCTGACCTCAAAAAATCCACCACCTTGGCCTCCCAAAGTGCTGGGATTACAGGCGTAAGCCACCACGCCCGAACTCATCTGTGTTTAAACACGCTTTCGTCTGCTTTAAAAAATAAAAACACTACCTTGCACCCATTTTCCCTTCTAGCCACAGCCTTTTCTCTCTCCATCCTGTTGCAGCTGAACATTTCAAAATGGTTTTCATATGCTCTCTTTCTATTTTCTCACTTCTCACTTCCTCTTTAATCTGCTGCAATCTGGTTTGAAATCCCATCACTCCATTGAAGTAATTATTGCTAAAATCACGAATAGCCAAAGTTGCTACATCCAATAAACATTTTCTATCCTCTTTTTATTTAATCTCTCAGCATCATTCAGTAAAGGTTGCCACTCTTTACTTCATGTTGGAAAGTTTCTTCGCCTAATTTCATTGAATAATACTCTTGATTTTCTTCCTACTTCTCTAAATATCCTTTTTCAGTCTCCTAGGCTGATGCACCCTCTTCTAGTCAACCCTAAGTGTTAGAGTCCCTCCAAGGTGGGGTCTTCAATCTCTTCTTAGGTTATACTCTCTGCTTAAGCTATTTCACCTCTGCCCATGATCTCAAGCCCATACGATGCCAGCTTTTGGATTTTATCACCTGTCCAGCACATTCATCTGAGCTGTAGTACTCTAAATACAACTCTTCAGCATCTTCACTTGAGTGACCACAGCTCCCTCAAACTCAATATGAACTCATCAAGACATACTGGTCAGAAACCTAAGAGTCACCCTTGAGTCACCCTTTTCTTTACCCAGTAACCCACTCCATCAGCAAGTTCTATTGCCTCTACATTCAAAATATATCCTGAAACATCCACTATTCTCCTTCTCTATCAGAACCCTGGGCTATTACATTAATCTCCAAAGGTCTCCCAGTTTCCATTCTTGGTCCCCATCCAATCCATACTCCACCCAAAACAAGAGTGATCTAGAAAACATATATATACCCATTCATGATTGAAGCTGTTTAGTAATCTTCTGTTGTTTTAGCATAAAAATCAAAGTCTTCTATGTGACCTGGCCTTGCTGCCTCACCAGGCTTGCTCATGATGCTCTCCTCCCTCAGCCCCATGCTCCATTCCACTAGCCTGTCAGGTCTTCAGATGTTCTATGTGCTTCCTGCCATAGGCCCCAAGCAATGCCACCCTTTCTGCCTGGAATTCTCTGTGGCCCCACTACGCTTGTCCAGGCAATTCCCACGCATTCACCAAAGCTTAGCTGAAGGGACACACAGTCAAAGAAACCTGCCTGTCCAGGCGTGAAGTCTCCATTGTACACACTCAGAGCACCCAAGACTCCTCCTCCATAGCTCTGTCCAAAATAATTTTAACAGTGTTATAACTGTTAAAATTTTATGATATGTGAAATATAACTCACATACCATAAAATATATTTATTGTATTGATTTAAAATATAACTCATACCATAAACTCCACCCATTTAAACTGTACACTTCAATGGTATTTAGTAGGTATGTAAATTTTAGAAGTTTTCATCACCTTGAAAAGAAACTCTGTAGCCTTTAGCTATCACTGCCTGGCCCTCCAGTCCACTGGCCTAGCCCAATGCTAACATTTGACCAATTTCTGCCTCTATAGATTTCTGTATCCTGGACTTTTCCCATGAAAGGAGTCATGTGATATGTGGTCCTTTGTGACCAGTTTCTTTCCTAGAACATAATGTTTTCAATGTTTATCCATTTTGTAGTACGTGTCAGCACTTCATTCCTTTTTATGACCCCCAAATTATTTTTCATAGTTGAATAATTGGTTGTCTCTCCTGCTAAAATGTAAGTCCTACAAAACCAGAAACCATGTCTCATTGCTTCCCATATCACACAGAGAGGTGATCAAAAATGATTTGTTGAACTACTAACAAATCAAAAAAGTGAACTTGGCTCAAAGCCTATGCAATACATCACTCCAATTTTGAAGGCTAAGAATCCAGCTGAGCTTCTTTTCATCACTGAAATAATAAAACTCATTCTGCATTCTATATTGGTACATTGTAGCAATAATTAGAGAATAATTAAAATCTAGGAATATACCCTCAAATTTATGTTATACAACTCTGTACGCTTTTCTTATATGCATATGTTAAAATGCATATACTTATACATACTTATATGCATGCATTAAAATGCATATAAACCACTTGGGGATCTTGGTAAAGTGCAGCTTCTGATTCCCTAAATCTGGGATGGAGCCTGAGATTCTACATTTCTAACAATCTCCTGGGTAACGCCAATACTGCTGGTCCAGGGACCAAACTTTCAGCAGGAGGGTCTTAAAATATCGTGGTTTATCTTCTTCAAGCCTGCTGGCATTTTAGAAATATCTTCAAATCATTTTTGATAAATTATTGTACTTACAATATACATGGTAGGAGCTTAACAAATGCTTGATGAATTAGTACTTAGTAAATGTATAAATTGCTTCCAGACATAACAAGGTTTCATTGCTGCATCCTTGGTCTGACTTATGTGCACAAACAACAAAAAAATAGGGCTGAAACATCAAGTAAAAGCAAGGAGCTTTGAAAATCAAAGAATTCAAGAAAAAGAAAAAGTAAATCAGATCCTAAACTACTGTAATTCAGGGATATAAGTACAATACGTTACTAAGCTGAAAGTAAAGGACAGTAAAAAGGAAGCCAGAAAAGAACATCTTAACATTCCAAGCAAATGTGTGTACTCTCTAAAAAAGAAATAAAAAGCTTCCCTTGTCTTTATGCAGTGATTAGAAGGAGCAAAAGAAAATGAGACAATTAGGATGTGCAAAAATGAAACTTTACAGTGGATAGGAAAAACTGTGCAAGAACCAGAAAATGAAGATGAAAGCAAGCTACAGATCCAAACAACTAAAATGAGATCTCTTTTGAGAACATGAATCAGGCAGACATTAAATTGAATTACTACATCAAACCAGAATCTCTTGGATTTTAGAATAAACAGCACAAAGGCACACTGTGAAGAAGTAAATGAACACTGACACTGGAGGTTCTAAAAACTGCAACTTGTCAGAAACCTTATAGGGTCTCAGTAAATTAGCTAGGTCTAAGTGTTCAAGTAAGCCTTTACTTCAAATCAGATGTTTGGCAGAAAACAGAAAGATTATCTTCATTCAAGCCCTCCTATTTAAGATTCAGGATTGTGTTATCTGAAAATTCTGTGCACTCCTCTATCACAAGGTAATGGCAGCTGGAAGTCTCCAGCTACAGAGACCCTTCCCATGATAATGACATCTGCAACAGGTACAGAGTCAAAGATAACCATGAACACAATAATTCACTTCTGGCAGCTCTATTTCTTTTTTAATTAACATCTTTTCCAAGCAAGAGAGAAGACTGCACTGCAGAAAGCAGATTCCTGATAAGCACACCTTGACAGCAGCAGATAAACAGGATCGCTGGGCTGAGGGATCACGGCCAAATAACAGGTGACAGCAGTTATTCACCATGGCTGTGCAACAGGATCTAGAGGGGTCTACCCCTTCAGTACAGAGATTGACAATGGAAGTCATCCCAAAGTCACAGCTGAATGAAAGGATGAACTTCTTTTCAAGGCTCCAGCCCCATCCGAAGAACAGGTAGCTCTGTACCATGCCTGCGTTGTGCAAACGCTTAGAGCCCTTGTGGTTATACCCAGTCCCTCAAGTAGCGTGTGGAGGACTCTTCTCTATATTTAAAACTTCTAAGCTAAGTAAAATTTCTGAGCTGAGTGCATTTCTTCCAGATAGGATAATTTAATCTACCGAGGTCACTTGCATTTCCAAATGTTGCTGAAAAACATCTAGAAAAAGTACAAACTCACTGCCCTATTTAGAAGCCAAATGCCAATTAGCAGGTGCCCTTGATCATTGAAACCAGAGCTGTGAAACTGACATGGTAGTTAGCTCATTTGGAGATCTCAGCCTTTAACACTTAGCAGGAACTGAATTTCCATTCCACCCGATCTCTACATTATATAATAGAAAGTGCATTTCTGGTTCATCAGGCTCCACTTAACTAAGGCAAAACACACAGCTCCGAGGGAACTCGCAAAGCCACAATGCTTAAATGAACCATAACCAATTTTTAAACAGAGCTTTTTAAAAGTAATACTGTCATCAGCTTCTCAGTGTGCACACCACAGACCCCTGGCCCCAGCCAAGTGTGGCTAATTGCATCTTTGCTTGGCCCACCCACAGTCTGAGAGCTGTTCTGGCCCTGGGCAAAAAAATGAGGAAGAATTCAGTATCACACTCAATTTTACTGTTAAAGCATTCCATTATCCTGCCTGCACCTTTAGATTTGGATGCTTTGGAGCCCAGGCTACATGGATCCCTGGGCCTTTCTTTGATCGCCCTCCCCTGCCCTATTTTTTGTTTCCTTCCTTGATTGCCCTCTTGGCCTCTGTTTTTTTCTCAGGATTAATGTGCAGCCTGTCTAAACCAGAACTACAAGCCAGACTCTTCCAGGGGCTTCAACACTGTTCCCTCACTGCCAACCCCCACCCCAGACCCCGCTTCTACTGGCCTATTGCCACCAAAGTCCTTGAGTGACTAACAGGTGACAAAAAATTCTAGTTCATTTTATCGCATCTAAAAATACACTGATATATCTCATGTCTTCTTCAATTAGTTTTTAGTGGCAGACAGTGTAAGGCTGTAGTGAATACCTAACAGAGAAAAGTTGCCATCAGTTGGTGACAGTAATAGTACCATAGATTCTTTAAAGTCACCTGTTTTCTCACTTTGCAGTCTTTAGATTGGGAGGCATTCCATTCATCATGATGATCTAGGTAACATAAGGGAATAAGCAGGAAGCTACACAGGTCTCCGCATAAGGTTATATATGAAGAATTGTAATACAAAGTGCAGGTCCACAAAGGGGAGAAAAATGCCATGTAATCAGTACAAATATATAACTAGATAGAATAAGATTGAGTATTTGACAGCACAACTGGGTGACTATAGTCAACAATAACTTATTGTACATTTTAAAATAACTGGTCAGGTGCGATGGCTCATGCCTGTAATCCCAACACCTTGGGAGGCTGAGGAGGGAGGATTCCTTGAGCTCAGGAGTTTGAGACCAGCCTGGGCAACATAGTGAGACTTTGTCTCTACAAAATAAAAATAAACTTAAAAATAAAATAAAATAACTAAAAGAGTATAATTGGATTGTTTATAACACAAAGAAAGGATAAATGCTTGAGATGATGGATTCCCCATTTACCCTGATGTGATTATTATACATTGTATGACTGTATCCAACTATCTCATGTGCCCCATAAATATATACACCCACAAAATTTTTACATTTAAATTTTTTTAAATGCCATACAAAATCAGAAGAGGTAGAGATTTCTCAGAGCCACAGTGATTCATGAATGTTTCACTTGATAAATGTTTGAGGTGATGGATAGGCTAAACACTGTGATTTGATCATTACACACTGTATACATGTATGGAAACATCATAAGTACCCCATAAATACATACAATTATTATGTGTCAATTAAAGAAAAATAGCATGTTTCACTGAGAAGTGATAAATTAAGTCTAGCCTAAAGCTGCCTCCTTACATATTTTAAGTTCAGCTTTAAGGTTTCTCTGTACACAGTGAACTGTAATCTAACTGGTGTATAAATAGACTAACTTGCTCTTGTACCACCACAGAGTTTCAGCCACTCACAGGTGAAATGTTCAAACTGTGTTAAAACAAGGCAAACGCCGAGCTCTGACCAATCTAACAGCTCTAAGAGAAGAGCTGTTCTGTACCACACTTCTCTTTTCCGTATGTCACTTTCCTTTTTCCATCCATGACTATTGCCCGACCACGCAGCAACCCCAGAGCCACCCTGAACCTATTCTGGTTCTGAGGGCTGCCCAATTTGCGAATCATTCTTTGCTCAATTAACTCTGTTAAATTTAATTTGTCCAAAGTTTTTCTTTTAACAGAGGTAGCATCTGAGTTATGTCTTGAAAGATGGGAAAATTTAGTCTTATTGAAGTAAAAGGAAAGGGGATCCAAGACAGAGTGAAATGAAAATGCCAACAGACAGAGGTGATAGTGTCCTGATGAGAGCAAAGGCTCTGAGCTAGAAAGAGTGGGTCTGAAGACTCCTTCTACCACCTCCCGTCAGAGAGACCTGGGGAAAAGCCCATAATGTTAACTACCTCTCTCTCTATCTGTAAAACGGAAAATATAAAACTTTGTCACATAGGAATGTTGTGATTGAAATAAATAGTAGAAACAATCAACAAAATCAACTGCTCTATACATTGAGAGCAAACAAGGTATAGATTATTCATTCACAGTTCAGCTGGAGAGAAGTGCATATGAAGGCAGTCTGGAGATGCGGTCTGGAGCCATGCCATGTGGTTCTTTGAACTCAAACTCAGGAGGCTACAGCCATTGAATAGTGAAGAGCAAGAGAGTCATAGAACTGGAGCTGAGCTTCAGAGTAACTTAATTTGGTAGAAAAAGGAAAGGCAGACTGGAAGAGAGACACATTGGAGATATGAAATCTAGTAGATATAAAGCAAGTCATACAAAAAAATAACAAGGGTGAAAATAAAAAGACAGGGCCAATTCTAGGTGCGAAAAAACACTGGCCAGGCAGAATGGCTCATGCTTATAATCCCAGAACTTTGGAAGTTGAGGCGGGAGGATTGTTTGAGGCCAAGAGTTCAAGACCAGCTTGGGTAACACAGTGAGACCCCCCATCTCTACAAAAATAAAAATTAGCCAGGCGTGGTGGTATGTGCCTGTGATTTCATCTACTCAGGAGGCAGAGGCAGGAGGATTGCTTCAGTCTAGGAGTTCGAGGCTGCAGTGAGCTATGATCGTACCACTGCACTCCAGCTTGGGTAACAAAGTGAGACCCTGTCTAATAAAAACAAAAACAAGAACAAAGAAACAAAACATAACTGCTGAGGTTTGGTAAATATGTGGTTGTTGAGGCCAATGAAAATGAAAAAAAGGAAAGTGGATACTGTAATCCTAGCACTTTGGAAGGGCAAGGCGGGTGGATCATTTGAGGTCAGTAGTTCAAGACCAGCCTGACCAACATGGTGAAACACCGTCTCTACTAAAAATACAAAAAAAATAGCCAGGCATGGTGGCACGTGCCTGTAATCCCAGCTACTCAAGAGGCTGAGGCAGGAGAATCACTTGAACCCAGGAGGTGGAGGTTGCAGAGAGCTGAGATCGCACCACTGCACTTCAGCCTGGGCCCTGGGTGACAGAGCGAGACTCCATCTCAAAGAAAAAAAAGGAAAGTGGGTAAAAAGGCAAAGCTACTGATAGAGAATCAAAAGAAGGGGTAAGTTTAAAAAAAAAAGGAGATGAATGAAATTAAGTTCAGGGTTTTAGCAGAATATTTGATAATGGTTATAAACACACAAAGAAATCTTCAAAAGCAAGAGTACAACCTGGCGATGGTTTATAAACTGGGTCAGTTATGTCCTATGCAACTATGAGGGGATATCGTTTAATGTCTCTAATCTGGCTTATGCATACAGCTCTCCTATTTGCTGGCATAGAATGTGAGTGCCTATTGGGCCACTTTTGGTAGACAGAACTGGTGCTTCGGGATGAACACATGACAGCAAATTGGAGAGCCGAAATGACTGTTCATCATTTTTTTGGCTGCTTGACACCTACTCCCCCTCTTTCCTTCCTTTTGTGGGGGACATCCTCAGTGCATGTGTTTTGATGGGACGCCAAGTCCTACTTCTCACTTCAAAAGCCAGAGGAGGCCAGATACTCCCTCTCCTCATTCTTGGCAGATAGACTGCAGACAGGTGTCCTAGGCTTAACCAAACAAAATGTTTCCACACAAAAACTTAGATTTGTGAGGAAAGGACACATGGAAAAGGAGGCAGCGTAGAACTCAGCCTCAGCAGCAGCACCCAGCGGCAGCACATTTCTTAGACCATCTTGGCCATCTGACCCAGCTCTCCCAGTTTCTGCCCAAACCCTTATTCTCATTTTCTAGATTTTAGATCAATTTTTTAAAGTTACCCAATATCCTTCCCATAAGTTTTTTTTTTTCTATTAGATATGGTCTGTTTCCATTGTCATATAATTTCAAAATTTCAAAACTTCTCTTCTGTCATCAATGTCTCCTGTGTATAACAAGCATCATCCAGTAGTGAGTAGCCACGACTCTGGAATAAATCCCTGCTGGGCTTTTCCCCTAGCTCTCCTCCTTACTAGCTGTGTAATCGTATGCAAGCCACTCACACACTGTGCCTCAGTTTCCACATCTGCAAAATATGGGTCATAACATTAACCCATGTCATGGTGGTGTACGAATAAATGAGATAATATAAAGGGCTTACCACAGGGCTTGACACCTAGTAACCATGAATGTTGGGGGTGATTATGATAGTGGGATGACAAGAGTAATGTAGGTGTCTCCTAAATAAGCCATGATCTCTGTCCTTAGCACTTTGGGACCTAAGTGAAGAGGCAAGAGGCATACATGTGAAATATTCCATAAGTAGAAAAGAATGGCATAGCATGCTTGCAGATGACACAAATGTGAGTCTAAAACCTGTTGTCATGTCAGTTCATAAAATGCTCTTTTTTCAACCAGCCATATTTATGCCACTGAAATATTAGGCCATACCCTACAGCCATGAAAAGTTTTCAGAGTCCAACTGAGAACTTCTGACAGGCTAAGATCAAAAGAGAAAACTAGAAAAAGGCATTCATTTCAAGCCTGGGCAGCATCAAAAATCCAAAAGCACTCCCCAGGAACATGAGTCTGTTTCCATGTGCCCTAGGGATTCTAGTCAGGCATATGGAGACCCAAGGCAGGATAAAATTAAAATATGACCCCACAGGATCCTCCCTGGGGAACGTGGGAAATAATTCCCCTGGATGAAGAGTTAACTCCAAAAGGAGTCTCTTCCGTAGAGCAGACAATGCTGTAGAATTCTTGGACCTGTTCTCACAGCAAAAGTCTGAATTATGTATCTTTTAAATTCTAAGCATGAGTTGTGTGGTGTAGCATCTATCAATCTTCTTCAAAATGTATCCATCCCCCACTTATCTAAAACAATTACTTATAGGAATTCAATTTCAGGATCATCTAGTACATTGCTTTTGGGGATTCAATTTCATCTTTTCACTCTAAATTCCCAGTTGTTCCAGCACCATTTTTTACAAAAGACCATCCTACCCTGTGGCCCTGCAGAGCCACTTCTGAAATAAATCAAGTGTCCACACGTGCAAGTGCTTCTGGGCTCTCTTCTGTTCCATTGATTGATCTGTCTATTCCCACACCAGCAATGCCCTATCTTAATTGCTATGCTTTTATTATTAGCCTTCTTATCTGGTAGCTCAAGTCTCCTCACCTTGTCCTTCTTTCAAACATCTCAATTATTCTTAGCTGTCTACATGTTTATGTGTATTTTAGAATCAGCTTGTCAAATTCTACCCAAAAAAATCTGCTGAGATTTTTCTTGGGATTGCATTGCATCTAAAGATCAGTTTAGGGCAGCATTAGCATCTTTACAATATTGAAAACTAGAGTGAACAGACCTCAGCTTGGATGCAGGCGGGGGGAGATTTAACACTAAATTTTCTAAGTTTGGACAATTACAGGAGGGTGGGGATCCTGTTTACTGAAACAAGGCAGTGTGTATGACTTAAAGAAATCATAAAACTTATTTCATAAAGAAAACATAAAACTTATATCATAAGCGGTAGTACTGGTTCAACATACCAGTATCATTCAGCACTAACATATACTTTTCTCTTTTTTAGATACTTATATATATATTGTTAGATATATCACACATCTTTTGTTAGATATATTCCTAGTCATCTTCTTTTATATTTTCTTATTCCTTATATTATTGTATATAGGAATACTCCTGAGTTTTTATGTTAATCTTATATATTGTAAAAATCATCTTATAATTAGTTGATATATTTTCTCGGAATTCTCTATGCAGATAATAACATCAGTCCCAGTTAAATCTCTTCCAGGACTTGTAATGGCGTTTCAGGATTCTTGTCCCATGAGGACATAGGGATATCATGATTCTAGCCTCAAAGCCCACAGATGGCCTGAATCAGTTTTTGGTCACCTGGCTCTAAGTTCCCAGACTCCATGGGCCTTCAGCCTTCTTTACATACAGAAGCTGAATTCTTAGCCATCACTTTCTGCTTTCAGACCATCCCAAGCCGAATGCCCAATAAGCCTAAGGCTTTGGTTCCAATGAACATTTAAAAAATTTCTGTCCTATTTGTATTCCACAGAGAGGAAGGTGTTCATTTGAAGCCTGGATACATATTTTTGTTTCATATTTTAATATTTACCTGCCATTGTTATTTGTTTATAAAGAAGGGAATGCATCAAGGTATAAACCACCTGTGCCACTTTGTCAGAAGTTAATACAACCACCCTTACTATCTCTCGACTATGGGAAATGTTTTGAACAAATACTGTGTGCAAAATAATTAGCATGAAGTTCTAAGAGATCATAAAACAAATCATTTTAAAAAGATGATGTTAGCTATTTTGTCTAAAGAGCAACTTGAATAGTCCATCTTTTTACATATTCTCCTGGAGGCTGCAACATGGATTATATCTTATCTTTATATTCCTAGAGTCAGGCATGCAATAATGCTAAAGACTCTCAGCTTATCTACAACTATGATTTGTCAATTTAATTTTAAAAAATTAAAATAAAAACTCAGTGGTGTGCTGGTTGTCTTAAAACAAGCCACATAACTTTCAGTGCCTCATTTTCTTTATCAGGCAAAAGTTGTGTTGTAATAACAACTATTTCAAATAAACCATGATGACATATAAGTTGGGAGGAAATAATAGGAGTTAAAGGTCTTACATTGTTCAGTAAGAGAGTAAAGGTCCTAATTTGTTTTAGACTTTAAGTTAAATACGCATGTTAAAATAGGCCAGGTGAACACTAAAAGAATAGGCACAAATAATAAAATTTTCAGGATAATGGAGTAATAGAATGAAAAAAAAAAAGATGAGAAAAAGACAGAAAATCTCAATCAATCCAACAGCTGTGCCCCAGATCCAGTCCTAACCCTTCTCCACTAGGATCTGTGCCCTTCAAGCCTAATCTTGCATGGACCACAGACTGAGGTTCCTTTGCTTCTGGAGTGAGCTCAGCCATCCAATAGGAGAAAGGATAAGAAAGCAGAGAGAAGAAAGGGAGGGAAAGCAGGGTGTCTACTCCCTAGCTCCATTTTACAGGGCCTTCAGCTTCTAGAGGGAAGGGTCTACAGATCTCTCTCTCTATATATATACACCTGGTTCCAGTAACTGCTACCTTCCTCAGTGGGTTGAATCATGTCCTGCAAAAAGATGTGTTCAAATCATAAACTCCGGTACCTGTGAGTGAAACTTTATTTGAAAATAGGCTCTTTGCAGATATAATAGGGTTAAGAAGAGGACATATTGGATTAGGCGGACCCTAAACCCAATGACTGAATTTTTATTTATAAAAAGAGAAGAAAAGGGACTTCAGTTACAGAACCAGAGAGGAAACAGGCCATGTGACAATGGAGGCAGTTTGGAATGATGCAGCCACAAGCCAAGGAGGGAGGAAGGATTACTGAGAGTCCCCAGAAGCTTGGAGGAAATGAGGAAGAGCTCAACCTTGGAGCCTTCAGAGGGACCATGGCCCTGCCAAGTACATTCATTTCGGACTTCTCATCTCCAAAACTGTGAGAAAACAAATAACTAGTTTTTTTTTTTTCCTTTTTTTTTTTTTTTTTTGAGACAGAGTCTTGCTCTGTCGCTAGGCTGGAGTGCAGTGGCGTGATCTCCGCTCACTGCAACCTCTGCTTCCCGTGTTCAAGTGATTCTTCTGACTCAGCCTCCCAAGTAGCTGGGCCTACAGGCGTGCGCCACCATGCCCGGCTAATTTATGTATTTTTAGTAGAGATGAGGTTTCACCATGTTGGCCAGGATGGTCTATGATCTCTTGACCTCTTGATCTGCCTGCCTCAGCCTCCCAAAGTGCTGGGATTACAGGCATGAATCACTGCGCCAGGCCAGTACCCGTTGTTTTAAGCCACTCAGTTTGTGATAATTTGTTGCATAGCCCTAGGCAACTAACGCACTCCTCTCACTAGGCTCCTGCAGTGGCCTCGCTGCTCTCACTGGCTCCAGGCCACCTTCTATCTCTTGTGGTTTTCCTACACTTTGTCCATGCCTTCATATATAGTCACTAAACAACAATCTACAAATTGCCAAATTACCCAGTTTCAGAGTTCATCAGTTTCATGCCAGAACCTTGACCAATGCAGAAAGCAAAAGAAAAAAGGAAAAAAGAAACACAAAAATCTTGACAAAGAGAAAGTGCATATGATGATAGATGAAGATAGTCAATCCAAATATCAGTCATAGACATGGATAAACGTCATGAAGTAAAACTGAGCAAAATAAATCAAGTTACAGAGAATACATACAAAATTATATGTTTACATGAAATTCAAAAACTGGCAAATAATGGGCTGGGCATGATGGCTCATGCCTGTAATCCCAATACTTTGGGAGGCTGAGGGGAGATGATTGCTTGAGACCAACCTGGACAATAGAGTAAGACCCTGTCACTACAGAAAATTTTAAAAATATAGCCAAGCATGGAGGTGTGCACCTATAGCCCCAGCTCCTTGCGGGGCTGAGGTGGGAGGATCGCTTGAGCCTGGGAGGTGGATATTGCAGTGAGGTGTGATTGTGCCACAGCACTATAGTTTGGGTGAGAGAGTGAGACCCTGTCTCAGAAAAAAAATAAGTCACTGGCAAAAATAATACAATATATTGTTTAAATTATACATATTGAAGTAGTAAATTTGATGAGAAAGATTAATACAAAATTTAGAATTATAGCTTATAGCTATAAAGGTGGAATACAGAAAATTTCCAAGGTGTTGGTTTCTTAAGCTGGGTAAAGGGTACATGAGTGTTTTTTTTATTATAACTAACCTGTACCTATATGTATTCTGTGTACTCTTATGAAGATAATGTGCTTCCCAATAAAAATTGTAAGGTTAAAAAGTGAGTTAACATTATCAGTGATAAGCCATGTTGATAGCATGTACTTCTGATATGATGTGATGAAAATGGTATTTTACCTCTGTGGTCTTCTTTCCCCATAATTTATCAGCCCAGTCAAATCCTGAGAAAAATGTAGGACAAACCCCAAATTAAGGGACATTTTACAAAATACCTGATGAGTAATCATCAAAACTACCAAAGTCATCAAAACCAAGGAAAGTCTGGGAAACTGTCACAGACCAGAGGAACCCAGGGAGACATGCTGCATAAAGGTAACGTGGTGTCCTGAATGGGATCTCGCAATGGAGAAAGGACAAGAGGGAAAACTAGGGATATTAAGAATGGAGTTCAATCCATAGTAATGCACCAAGGTTTGTTTCTTTGTTTTGACAAATGCACCATGGAAATATACGAGGTTAACAATAGGGAAAACTAGATGAGGGGTACACAGAGAATCTGTACTATCCTTGCAATTCTTCTGTAAATCTAAAACAATTCTAAAAAAATTATAAAACTTATTAGAAGCAAAAACAAAGCTAACTTTTTAAGATTGATCAGCAAATTCTCAGTCATCACAGTTACTATGCCAGATAACATTTAAAAATTACAGAAATTATGGCTGGGCGCGGTGGCTCATGCCTGTAATCCCAGCACTTTGGGAGGCCGAGGCAGGCAGATCACGAGGTCAGGAGATCGAGACCATCCTGTGTTACACGGTGAAACCCCAACTCTACTAAAATGCAAAAAAATTAGCTGGGTATGGTGGTGGGTGCCTGTAGTCCCAGCTACTCGGGAGGCTGAGGCAGGAGAATGGTGTGAACCCGGGAGGCAGAGCTTGCAGTGAGCCCAGATTGCACCACTGCACTCCAGCCTGGGCAACAGAGTGAGACTCCATCTCAAAAAAAAAAAAAATTACAGAAATTGTAAGACTAATATTACTTTAGAAATAATGAATACCTCTGGCCAATAAAAAAAGGGTACAGATTTTATATCCTCTCATTTACCTCCTAACAAAATAATCCAAATTGTACCTACCAGCTACCAAAAATTAAAACCAATAAACTAGATTAGCATCTGAAGGTTTTATAGAGGACTTGTTACACAAATGTTAAATGCAAGCTGCAAAAATTTATCTTGTTGTTAGTGCCAGTATTATTTGAGTCTGAGCTTGATGAGAAACCTGAAATAGGCTCAGTGACAGCAAAAAGTGAAGGTCAAGGCAGAGTGGAAAGTAGGATAGCTAAGTGTTGAAGGCATACAATATAATCATATATAACATCGTGATAAACATCCTTATTCACAAACTTTGTAAACCTCTCTGCTTCTTTTGCTAAATTCCCCAAAGTAGAAACAATGCTGGGTCAAAGCATAACCTTCTTTACTGCTCTCTGTAGGGAAATCCTGTCAGGGGGTTCCCCAAAGACTGAACTAACCTGCCCTCTACCTTCATGTTATTTTTCCCACAGTAATGCTCAATTGATAAATCTCACTCCTAGTTTTAATGTTTTTATCAATAATAAGGCTGAATTTTTAAAATTGTATTGGTCCTTTGTGTGTCTTTCAACAAATTATTATATCACTTACACTGCCCATTTTTCTTAAAAATATTAAGTAGCTCTTTATAGCTTATTATCTATACTATATGTTGTAAGTACTTTTTTCCATCATGATTGCTTGATTTCTAATTTGGGATGCAGTGTTTCTGATTAATTAAATGTTAGATTTGACTGCATGAAAAGCTATTATTTTCTTTTATTACTGCTTTTCCCTGTGTTTTCATGTTAAAAAATACCTCGTGATACTCTCAATATCAGAAAATGTGTCACCTATATTTCAACCACATTACTGTATGGTTTATTTAAAAATCCTTTATCCAGAAATTTATTTTGGAGTATGTGATGTGATATATACATATACAATAAACATATACTGTAAACATGTATTTGGCTCGTATACATGAAGTAGGAACCAGCATGTCCAGATTTTTATTTGGGCTAAAATTTGTATAAATCAGAAAGGATTCTTTTACTGTTTTATGGTTCAATATGGTAGCTAGTAGCCACACTTGGTTACTAAGTGCTTGAAATGTGGCTGTATTACAATGCACATGGAGGTATATTGTAAGTATAAAATACACAGGGGATTTCAAAACTTAATTTGAAAACAAAGTATGTAAAATATCTCAATAATGTCTTCCATCGATTACATGTTGAAATAATAAGATTTGGGATATATTCTTTAAATAACATATAGTATTACAATTAATTTCATCTGTTTCCTCTTCCTTCTTTTGGTGTGGGTACTGGAAAATTTTAAATCATGTATCTGGCTCACATCGGTGGCTCACACTACATTTCTTCCGGACAGTGCTGATTTAGTTCCTGCATTCAAGTTAGGCCTCCTTGGCTCCTTTTCAGTTTAGCCCCTTGCTACTCAAAGTGTGAGCCCTAGACCAGCCTTAGACAGTTCACCCAGGAGCTTATTAAAAATGCAGAATCTCAGGTCCCACTCCTGAACTATTAAATCAGAATCTGTACTTTAAGGAGACACCTCCAAGTGACTCCTTTGCACAATAAAATGAGAACCACTGCTTCCATCAATAAACGTCCAAAACTTGGCCATCTCACTCCTACCACTAACCACTCTCATGATGAAAAAAGGATGGGAAACATAAATTCAGTGACAGGGAAGGGAAGGCAGCGACTACTGAAAGCCTAAAACAAAACAAGCCCAATCTAGGCTTTCTTTGGGTAGAGAGAACTCCCTAGATTACTCCAAAATCAGGTAATTCAACAAAACAAAGACCTTTGCTTATTGGGTTTATGTTTTTAATCAAGCAATATAAATACTATATGTATTTTATAGGTTTCTTTGGAGGGGAAATCTTTTAGAATCTATACAACCAATTTGTGCTATGGCCCCTGACATTTTTTCCATTCCTGCAAATAAACTTTGATTTTGAGTAACATATTCGTTGAATCTGGCTTACTTTGTTCTTCCTTGACTGACTTACAGTACCTCTTTCAACTTTTCTCTAAAATAATATGTTTTTAAATCATTATATATAAGGAAAACTGAAAAAGTATTCTTTAGTCTCCTACATAGAAACACACTATTCCAAAAATTCTTTTTTCTTAGAGGCTAAACAGTTATACAGTAGAGATTTGAGTATTATTTCTAAAATTACCCCCTAACTGGGCATGATGGCTCATGCCTGTAATCCCAACACTTCGGAAGGCCAAGGCAGGAGGACCACTTGAGCCCAGGAGTTCGAGACCAGCCTGGGCAACATAGTGAGAACCTGTCTCCTAAAAAAAAGTTAATAAAATAAAAATAAATAAATGAAATTACTCCTCTCAGTCCCCCTGTATACTTCCTCACTGTCAGTCACCCTCCTTAAGGAGGTTAGAGTAACAAGACATTTGCCCCTAAAATCATCTTGCCAGGTAAACCTAATCAAATGGTCATCCTCTGCCTGCCCTACCTAATACCAAACACTGAAATGGCACAAGGTATGGTGAAAAGTGCAAAGGAGACAGGGCTGAGTCTGGCCCATTTTGAGTGATAATAAAGAGCTTGGAAGGCTAAATGTGAATCTCTAGTAGGACAATGGCAAGCGATGCCCAAGAGACTGTAGAGGCCAGGCCACTAATTTCTGGCTTTCCATTCTGTTAAGTGGATCTTCTTGTCTAATCATGAGCCAACAGTTCGCTATTTTCATTACTTTAATTTTAGGGTAGCTTTAATATCTGGTTGTACAGGCATACTCTTACAATTCTTTTTCAAGATTTTCTTGGTTATTCTCACCTACATTTTTTGTTCTTGCAGAACTTTAGGATAATCTTGCCAAGTTTAATTTCCCATGGGTTTTGACTAGATTTGCGCTAACATCGGTAAACTTATATTGAATCATTCAATTCACGAACATGTTACAACTCTCCATTTATTCAGGTCTTCTTTTATGTACCTCCATAAAATTTAATAGTTCTCTTTCCAAAAGTCCTGCACATTTCCTAGTCGCTTTATTCCTAAGTTGTCTATATTTCTGTTGTTATAGCAGATGTAATCATTTTTAAATTTTTTTCCTTTTACTTAATTATGCAGCAATACATGAATACAAAGTCATTACAAAACATTACAGAAGAGTAAAACCAAACACTCTGGTCATTAATCCTACAAACCCTCACTCTTCCCACCAAAGGGGACATCTATAAAGAGTTGGGCTCATGTCCATCAAGACAATTTTCCATGCCCCTTAACTATTGTTGAGTTTGTGGCTTTGTTATGTTTTGCATAAACAAGATTGTACTATGTATTTTCTTTATGACTTTTCATACAGAAGTGTTGTCTTAGAAAAGTTTCCAGGTGCATAGATATGGCTATACCTGTAGTTGCATATTATGCTATTATAAGAATTTGACAATACATTTAATACATTTCCCTACTAATGGACATTTAAGTCACCAGAGGCTTTTCACACTGAAAGCACTACTTCACCAAACATACATATACATAGATTTATATACATATTTATGCCAGTATTTTTGTAGGTGAGATTTATAAAGATGGGAGTTCTGGGTCAACATATGAGCATTTTAAGAAATTGAAAGCTACTATCAAATTGCCCTGAAAGAAGGATTTACCACCTGTGCCAACATTCTGAAAAAGTCCATTTTCCCATACCGTTTATATTTTACATTTTCACTCTTAATTTTTGGCAATTTGCCAAAATGTTATGAAATACTTGTTTTTTAGTTAATATTACACTGAAGAACTGAGGAAGATATTTATATTTGCATTGGCTATATCAATATTTTCTCCTACAGTCTGTCTTTTCCTAGCTCCTCTTTGATAAGCTATGAATTTTCTCCTTAATCCCATGAATCTGCTCAAGGAGCTCTATTTTATTATGAATATGGATTTCTTGTCTGTTATATATGCATTCCATACTGTCATTTTCTTTTTAACTTTGTGCTGTCCCTTGTCAACAGAATTTTTTCATTTTATATAGTTAAATCTGAGCTTTACAAAATATGTGCTTTATTAACAAAATGTTAAGTAACAAAATCCAGAGGTGTATCTAGTAACTATTATAATTTCAAAGTAGTTATGACCACAAACAATATTTCAAGATATCTGCAACAACCATAATGCTCTACGAAAATAGCTAGTATTTCTACTGTTGACAAAATCCAGGTCCTGCTAATACTACTGAGGTTTGCCACATTGTAATTAAAGGAAACAGTAAATTTTAGATGTGGTTAATTGATAATAAAGATGTGGTTGTTTTCCCATTCAATTTTGCAAACTCCTTGGTCCAAAGTCATCTATTTATTGAATTCTTTCCTAACCACCTTCTGGCAAAGTTAACTATTCTTCCTCTGTGATCCCACATCTGTCTACACTTGTACTCACAGAATGCTCCGTGCCAAGTGCTTCACTTTCCTTATCTCATTTCCCTCAAAAGACAGCTCCTGGAGGAAAGGACTAGAGTGAGACGAAGCTGATGGAGCCAGTGCCCTGCCTTAGAACCCTGGCATACACGGCCTAGCATGAGTTATAAAGAGGCTGATGTACTAAAAAAGTGTACGATTGATGGTTAGCAAACAAATGAAACTGTACTTGCAATGCACAATTGGAATTTATGTTCAAAATCTGTCTATAGTCCCACTGTGCTGGTGGCTCACATTTTATTGTGGTGCTGATCTTCTATTCTTCTATCAGCGATTCTCAACCTTGTTTTGAAATTATTGTCCCTCAAAAGAGCCTTTTTTGGGCATTTTTTCCTAATTGCCCGCATGAAATTTTAATATTACAGACTATAATATACATGTATAGCTATTCATGTACCATGACCCTTTGGAGGGCCAAAAACCATTGTCATAATTTTTTTTTATTTCCCCAAACCAAGTTTTGCCCCTGCTAACAATTCATAGACCAAAATGAAATTCTAAGAAAGATGAGTATATCTGTATTCTATTTTAATGAGACATCAAAATCATAAGCCATTGTGTTTCTTACACAGAAAAAATGTTATGTTGTACCCTTCTTATCCCTACAGGCTAAGAAGTTGTAAGACCAAAGAACACAGTATTAAAGAAGATATAAAGAGAGGCATTTAAAAAAATCACAATTGAACCCTACACTCCTTGCCACATAACTCAGACTCTTTCAGTTTCACCAAATAATGTCTTTCACATGTTTATTACTCCATATGTCATTAGAGAAAATACAGGATGCCTGGAGTTATAATGTGCAAAAGGCATACACATATATCTCACCAGTAAGTTGAGAGTTACTATGACGTCTCTTTGAACTTTGCCAGCATTTTAGAAAAATGACTCAAACTTTTGCTGGCATGGGCAAAAATAAAGCAGAGTCACAGCACTGACAGTCCTTTGATATTAGATTGTTGTTAAAAGAAAGGATGCAAAGTCTTTGCTGGAATCATGTACTAAAATAGAACGGAAAGCCTCATTGACTTAAAAGCTAAATGGAAATTGGTTTGGTCATATTTTAAAACTGTAGCCAAAATATCTTCAATATGATAATACAGTATGTTCAAAAGATTTCTGCATCAACTGTAGCAACCTGTTGAGTCTTTGAGAGCAAAAAAGATAACATTCTGAATCAGCATTTTGGGAAGCAAAGGGATTACACAGTTCATGAATTAATTAAACACAGTAAATAATGTTCTTTTTCCCCAACCTTCTTAAATCAAATACATGTAAAGTCTATTTTTTAAAAGCACACAGTATGCAAAATATTTGTCATAAAATAAAAGTAAACTGAAAATTGGTAAAGCTCTTTGTATTTGCAGTGATGATTGCTGGCAAATAGGATAACATAAATAAAAGTTTTTCAGAAAAGTTTTTTCCTATTTTCATTGTGAAAACTCCTCTTGTACCAGAACATTCTTTCCCTGAATTAAAAAAAAAAACTATAACACAACATTTATCAGTTAGCAAAACTCAATTTAATATAGTTTAAAACTATTAAATTTGTACTGAATGAGCTACGTCACCATTTATTAGGCTTTTTTTTTAACTTGAAAGTCTCAGTGTTTATAAAGCACTTCTTGTTTTATAAAAACAGCTATTTATTAATAAACATAAATGTACACATATGACCAATAAGCTCTTGTGGTTGAAAGGTTTGAGGAGGGAAAAAGACATAAACCGGGGCCACAGTCGATTGCATCCAGGTAATATTCTGGTGAGTGATATCACTGGGAAGAACTGAGCTTTGTTTTGCCTCTATCTTCAATAACCATTGGGTAAGTCAATGGGTAAATTTTGTTTACCACTAAACCAAAGTCTCCTTCATAACCTCATCAAATATACCATACTCATCCCCTACTCCAAACATCATTATATCATCGTCATCTGGGTGACCTTTCAGCCTTGTTACCGCTGGTGACAAAATTTAGTGGGCAGGTACACAGAATTCAACTTGCTCCCAGTCAGACCACCACTTATCCTTCCTAACTCATGGTGCCCCATTTTACTGCCTAAATGAGTCATCCCAAGGAGGCTACAATCTTCTGATCATCTGTCTCCCCTACGTGACTTTCAGGGCAGACCTTACTATCATTCCTCCACCTTGTTGACCTCAATTCCCATAAAAATGTAGAGTCTCAATCCCTAGACTCTCTTACCCTACATGGCTCTGTATATCCTGTAACTGACTCAAACATGCCCTTCCTGAGTCCCCCAAACCCCTTGACTGTACCTTGAATAATCCAGGTCTATGACCTCAGGAAAATCCCCTATGTTCTCACCCTCTTCTCTGAATATTCTCTTCACTTTTTTGCTGTCACTGAAAAGTGGACACCCCCCCCCCCCCACACACACACACACACACACCAGGACATTGCTTACGTTGACACCTTCTTGTGTAGCAGCTGTTATTTTTCCCCCACATCCCTACTGCCAGTGGGCTGGAAGAGAGGTGTATATCCTCTTTGCTGCTTCCAAGCTATTTCTCTTTCCTCCTTCTTGGAATCCATAATCCCTTTAAGGCACATGTCATCAGAGACACAAGCTACCTCTCCTTATAATTATCTACTGTATTCCTGAGGATTCCCCACTTATTGTTAGAAGATTTTGCTATGGTTCCCTGTCTTTCTCTTGGTCACTAGTTTTCTTATCTGCATAGATAACTCATCCAGAACCCTGGTGCCAAGGTCCATGCCCTCCTCATGCAAAAAACTCCTGTCTCCCAGTCCTCCTCAGACACACACCCCTCTGCTCATGCCCTGTCATCATGAATGCCAATAACTGCACCATCTACAAACACCCCAAACTCAACTTTCCCTTTCTTTGACCACCTCCTCCCCTCTGTCCAGCCTACTCACTCCAGTATCCACTCCAACCACCTCCAACAACCACCACCGCCTCATGCCCTCACTTCCTTCTTATATTATTTAAATTCCATGGTCCACTGTTAAAGTCACCCCCATGCCCAAACCCTTACTTCCATCGCTCCTAAGTTAGTTAAACCCAACTCTTCACCTATTAGATATTTCTCTAGACCAATACGGCTAAACAAAAAAACAGTTACACTGGCTCATCTCCCTTAAAACTTACTAACACAACCTCAAGTGACAATCGAAGCTACCTGGAAAATAAAATAAATTACCACTCAAGGCTGTGGTAAAATAAATTTCTCTCCTGAGTGGACATTTTCATTCTCACATACACATTGTGGAATGCTCTCTCTTCAAAAGGCTCTATTCCCTCTACCACCTGCACTCTGAGATGACTGTCAATCCTGTTTCTCTTATTTCCCTGAGAACACAAAAGGTAACCAGAAGAGAACTTCCATATTTTCCCACCCACAAACTACCATCCCCACTGCAAACATACCCACAGACTACACCTTTCCCATAGAAATGGATTAATTGTACCCTCTCCACTAGGGCTCTGGGCCCCATCCCATCTCACCTACTCCAGGACTCTGCACCTGCAATTATTACATATCATAGGCATCATCAATTGTTCCCTTTCTCAGGATCATTCTTTCAGTATACAACATGCTGTTAGTTCTCAAAAAATCTCCACTGAGACCACACAGTTCTCCAGCTACACCACCCTCCCCATTCTGCTATCCAAATGAATCATGGAAAGTGAGGAGTGTCTTCTTCTCTTTATATTCCACTCCATTAAAACTGCTTGTCAAGATCACCAATGAGCTGCTCACTGCTTGTGGCCCATTCTTAGCCCTCATTTGTATCCAGCTTTCATTTGACAGAATTGATCACTTGCTGATTCTTGAAAACATTTCATTCTCTTTGCTTCCAGGATCCAGTGTTCTCCTGATTCCTCTCCTCCCTGCCCAGCTGCTTTTTCTCAGCCTCCTTGCTTCCTCCTTCTGTTTTGGGATGGACTTCTGCATGGCCCAGCCCATGGGCCTCTTTCCTATTTACATTCAACGCACTGGTGGTGGGGCCCAAACTAATGGTTTTGATACCATCTGCTAGCTGATGACCCTCAAATTCATATCTCCAACTCAAACCTCTTCTGAATTTCAGAATTGTATATCCAATTCTGATATATATTCAGATGTATATATCCAACAATGTATGCCTAGCTGTTATCTCACTTGGATATTTTTTAGGTATCTCAAAATTAACATACCCCCAAATCAACTCCAAACTTCTTCCCCTAAACCTCTTCCCCCAGGTGCCTGCATTTTCATTCACCCTATTACTCAGGCCAAAATTCACACAGACAGTCTGTCTGGCATTGCCCTCATCCAGTTCATCAGCCAATCTTGTCTTCTCCACAATGAGAACATATCCTGAATCTGATTTCTTCTCCCCACTTCCACCTCCACTTCTACCACCCTGGGCTGAGCCAGCACCACCTTGCACCTGCATTACTGCAACAGCCTCTTCACGGCTCTCCCTGCTTGGAATCATGCTGTATCACCCCCAGCACCACCCTCACAACACCATCCCACCACACAGCTCCAGGTGATCTTCTCAAAGGATAAATCAGATCATGTCACTTTGCTGGTTTCAAAAGCCTTCACTCACTTTCCTCCACACTCAGGATAAGATGCAAAGTTGTTGCTGTGGCCTACAAGGCAGGCCTCATATTGGCTGGCCCCTGACCATCTCTCCACATCTCTTCCACGCGCCCCGTTCATTCCTCATTTAGCTCCAGCCACAGTGCCCTCCTGGAGTTCTGCAAACCCAGCCAGCAGGCTACCACCTCAGAGTGTTTGCGCTTTACTTGCTGTCTTTTCTACCTAGACGACTGGTCCCACACAGTTGGGCATGGCAGCTGGCACCTCACCACACTCAGGTCTTGGACCAATGGTTACCTCTTTAGACAGGCCTTCCTGACCACCTTATCTGAAAGAGCAATGGCTGTCACTCCGTCTCCTCACCCTGCTTTAATTCTACTCATACATTTGTCACTATGCACCATGAGTTGTTACTTCTTCATTATCTTTCTCTCCCACTAGACTGGCTCCCTTAAGGCAGAGATATTGGCCCACAGTGTTATCTTTAGGGCTTAGAATCGAGTCTGGAACCTAGTAAAGCCTCCATAAATAAATATTTCCTGAATGAATTAATTCATAAATCAATCTTGTCTTCATGCTCTGAGAAAACTAACCTTATTGAACAGGAAATCAATTTCTTCAGGGCATTTAACAAAGGAGGCAATTTCCCAGGTCACTTATGCAAGTAACCGAAGGAAACTGTTTTGTTTTGTTCTTAACGTATAATTCGTTCTTCTTGCTCCTCCAAGCACCTCCTAGAAAAGCCTCAAATAGTTGGTTGTTCTAAGTGCACCTCCCCTTACAACGAAAGCATAGGCCAGGCCGGGCATGGTGGTTCACACTTGATCCCAGTGCTTTGGGAGGCCAAGGTGAGGGGATCACTTGAGCCCAGGAGTTCAAGACTAGCGTGGGCAACATAGTGTGACCCTGTCTCTACAAAAAATAGAAAATAATTAGCTGGCTGTGGTGTTGTGTACCTGTGGTCCCAGATACTAGGGAGGCTGAAGTGGGAGGATTACTTGAGCCTAGGAGTTCTAGGCTGCAGTGAGCTGTGATCAGGCCACTGAGCTCCAGCCTGAGTGATAGAGCAAGACACTGTCAAAAAAAAAAAAAAAAACGAAAGAAAGAAAGTATAGGCCACCTGCCCTTCTGGTCGAGCCACCAACATCCCTCGAGTAGAACAAAAACTGATGATAGAATCCTCATTATAAGAATGCATTTGTCTACCCCTGAAAAATGACTTCAAAATCTCTCAGGGTACAATCAGAAAAAGAGTTTCATTACTGAATTTATAGAAGATGAGAATATTCCTTGGAGAACTTTTTAAAATAATTTCATCTACATTTTCCTGTCAGAAAGAACTCTTCACCTTCTCCTTTTCCAATAATGAGTCTAACTCTCCTATGTTAGATATGTGGCGTCAGCTCTTAATAAATCAATAAGATTTCTCAGGAAATAGATAAGACTTAAAAGTCTAATCCATAATAGTTTACATTAGAAATCTGAAGGTTAAAGAGGTTGCCTTTAAGGCTTTTATCATGGCTCTGAAATGGAATTTCATGAATCAATACATCCTTGAGAGTCAAATGTAGAGCACCATATTTCGATTTGTACCAAAAGTTAAATATACACTAAAGTTATCACAGACCCGCTGTCAAGAGAAAGTCTTGCTTTACATAGAGTGAAGAAGGTAAAGCCTAGAGTCTGTTTCTGGAATTTTCACTGACAGACAGATTATAGTCTTGAAAGAATTAACTGTAAAAATAATGAGGCAGTTCTCAGTTACACAGTATACTATTTAATCCTCAGAACAACTTCAGGAGGTGGGTCCTATTATCATCTGCATTTTACAGATGAGGAAACTGAGTCAGAGAGTGTTTATGACCTGCCTGAGATCATATACAGAGAGTAAGGGATTGAGCTGGAACCTGAGTGCAGGCGATCTGGCTGGAGTCCATGCTCAGCACTCCTCCAAATGACATTACATGATGGGACCTACAATGCTGCCTCTCCTGACATTTGGAAATTATCAGATTTCAAGAATAAAGCAAGTTACTGGCTAGAAAAAAAAAGGAGGCAAATAAATTAGTTAGAGTTGCTCTTCGACCTATTCAAGTACAATTTACTATCAACTATGCAAACTTAGAGTGTTAGCTTGTTTTCTCATCAAATTACTTTTGACTGAGGTAGTGGACACACTTCACCTGTGAGGAAGGTGTATAGAACTACACACAGGCACACTCATACACACGCACACACACACACACACATAATAAATGCAAGTAAAACTAGGGAAATCTGGGCCATGCACAGTGGCTTATGCCTGTAATCCCAGCATTTTGGGAGGCCGAGGCGGGCAGATTACTTAAGGTCAGGAGTTCGAGACCAGCCTGAACAACACGGCGAAACCCCATCTCTACTAAAAATACAAAAACTAGCCGGACATGGTGGTGCACTCCTGTAATCCCAGCTACTTGGGAGGCTGAGGCAGGAGAATTGCTTGAACCTGGGAGGCAGGGGATGCAGTGAGCTGAGATTGTGCCACTGTGCTCCAGCCTGGGCAACAGAGGAAAACTGTCTAAAAAATAAATAAATGAATAAAAACTTAAAAACTAGGGAAATCTAAATAAGTGGTTTATATCAATGTCTGTATCCTGGTTGTAATATTATACCATAGTTTTGCCTCTATGTTGCTGCTGAGGTAAGCCAAATAAATAGTATGTGGATGTCTCTGTATTCATTATTCCTCCCAACTATATGCACATCTACAATTATCTCAATACAAATTTCAATTAAAAATTATTAAAAATATATATCTTTAGGGTTTTTGATATTTTGAAAAATCACTTTCAAATGGATTTGGATTCTCCATACTGAATTTCAAACTATTTTTTGCTCTTAACAAGATGGAGCTTGAGGAAAAATCACCTGGAAACTTTATACCATGAGGTATTCTCAAGAGGGCTTTAATAACAATATTCAACTGCAGTCCTGATGTGGTGCTGTCTTTACTGAGAAGTTAAAACTATTATATGATGGTCAGTGATGTGGAAGGCACACTACCTTTTTAGATAATTTTTATGTAACTGAAATAGATGAATAAGAAAATTGTAAACAGGGAAGGATACCTTTTCCAAGCAACCTGAATGTGGCAGACACCTTTTGATCATAAAACATATCCCTTAAACACACTCCCTCAATCCTACGTTTCTCTCCATGCAGAAGACAAAATTCTTCAAAGAGCTGCCTAATTCCTTGTTGACTTCCTTTCCTCACCTCCTATTCCCTCTTCAAACTACCTCAGTCCTGTTTCAACCCTCACAACTCATCCCATTAAATTCAACTGAAAATTACTGCACTCAGTTCCTTGCCTTGTCCTCAGCCTCTGAGGCTGCTTTCCCTCCCTGCTTCCGCATTCCCTCTTCCATGGCTCTTCTGGTTTCCTCCACATCTCAGGTGCTCCTTTGCACTCTGCCCTATGAGCTTGCCCTCCCATTCCTGGCTATGACATGTGGGCGCTCCTCTCTCCCTAGGTAATCTGATGCAGGCCTATGACTTCATTTTATATCTATGAATGTATCTTTTGCTCACTATTTTATGTCTCAAGACCAGAACTCTATATCTCAGATGCCTCAAGTGTCCTCAATATGAAAGCTGGATGTATGATCTTTTCCCCTTTACAGAAGCAAGTAACCCAAGAGTTCTTTTACACCACTCTCAATATCCAACCCCTTAGCAACCCACTTACCCGCTTATCCTTGTAAGGATTTCTCAAATCTGTGCACTCCTCTCCATCACTCCTGCCACCACCCATATCCCAGCTACCACTATTTGTCATCTCAACTAAAGCAAGAGCCTGCTAACATATCTCCCTGGCTTCACTCATGCCCCTGACCTCCATCCAAGTGAGCTTCTTGTGACCCCCATGCTTAAAACACTTTGATGACTTTTTACTATAAAGACAAAATCCTTAACACGGCCCCCTGCTCTCTACTCCAGCCATATGAGCACTTCTTTGTGGTTTTCACAGAAGCTGTCTCTGTTTCCTCTGGCTGAGCCAATCTTTCCAGTTTGTTTGCCGAATGAATTTCTACTCACCCTTCATACTTCAGCTCCATGAACAATATTTCCTCAGGCAGGACATGCCTGTCCTCTCCATCCCCCAATATAGGCTCACACATTGCCATATGCCATTCTTTGTAGCACTTACTGATATTTAAATGCAACTTCCATCTGTGTGATTGTATGGTTAATGCGTGCCTCCTCACTGGACTGTAAACTCCTCAGGGAAGAAACATGTTTACATGTACTCATCACTGTACTCATGCCTGACACACTCCCACAAACACACCTATATTGAGGAAATAGCACCAAAAATAAAAGGTAGATTTTAGAAATGGTAGAAATTGTGCCTCTGCCTTTCTGCCCCTTCGCACCCTGGCTGGAGAAGAAGATGAGGTTTTATAATTATATACATGATAAAATTTGTCACTTAAATATCCCCAAAATTGAAAAAAAAAATGCTGTCATTGATACAACTGTTATTTAAATATTACCATTCATGTTTTAATTGAATTATGATATTTTCAATTAATCTTGATTTTTCCCCATATCTCCATTCCACAGGTAATAAAGAAGTAAAAAAAATGAGTAAATAAGTTTTTTAATTAATCTTTTTTTTTTTTAGACAGTGTTCCTGTCGCTCAGGCTGGAGTGCAATGGCACAATCATGGCTCACTGCAATCTCCACTTCCCAGGCTCAAGGGACCCTCCCACCTCAGCCTCCCTAGTAGCTGGGACTACAGGTGCGTGCCACCACACTTGGCTAATTTTTGTAATTTTTTTGTAGAGATGAGGTTTCATTATGTTGCCTAGGCTGGTCTCGAACTCCTGGGCTCGAGCAATACTCTTGCCTCGGCCTCCCAAAGTGCTGGGATTACAGGCATGAGCCACCACGCCCAGCCAATCTTTATTTTCTCTCAAAATTTTAATTCACAAGTAAAAGCTGAAAATGTGTATAAATAAGGAGTTTTATATTGTTAAAATAATAATGCAATTTTCAGATGTTTAACTTATTAGACAAATGGCATTGCTAAAAATTTCCCTTAGGGCATCATTTGTTTGCCTTCACGTTTGTGATAATCAACGTCATAATTTTATCAGTGTCTTCATAGCTTTTGTAACTACACAAAAAATCTTAACGTGAGCATCACATCCTTTCCTCCTTCCACTCTCACCTTTCCACAAACAAGAGAAAGTTACCAGCTTAGCCTTACCCTGTCCCTTGTGGCTTTGAGTACAGAAAATGGGAAATTCCATGCAAGTGGATCTTCAAGAGGAAAACAGTTAAAGAACTATACTCCTCATGGGCTGAACATGCAGAAGGAGCCGACCCCTGGGAGAAGGTTACCCTGGGGAAACAGCACAGAGGTTGCTGAGAATCCAAAGAGAAAGGCGACAGTGGGAAAGGGAGGATAACATAGATGAAGGAAAACACTTCTTGGCTAGGAGGGCTGCAGTCTCCCAAAGTTATAAGTGCCAAAGAATAGAAAGGGGACGAGGGACTTTAATGAGATTTGACTTGAACGGTACTTGAATGCTGTTAAGTACTGGAGGGAGTTTCAGGTGGACTGGAATTCTTGCTTGGACTGTGCATCTTCCAAAAGACATGCTCACATCACACTTTCTTTACCAATCGCTAAAAATAAGAATACTTATTCTGCACTTACTCAGTGCTGGATACTACAGAGAATGTTCCTGGTTCAAGCAACTATCCTAGACTTACTAGTAAGAATTTTTTGGCCAGAAGGTGAGAAATGCATCCATCAAAAATTTAGGAGCCAGCCGGGCAGGGTGGTTCATGCCTGTAATCCCAGCACTTTGGGAGGCCAAGATGGGTGGATTACCTGAGGTCAGGAGTTCGAGACCAGCCTAACCAACATGGTGAAACCCCATCTCTACTAAAAATACAAAAATTAGCCAGGCATAGTGGCACATGCCTGTAATCCCAGCTACTTGGGAGGCTGAGGCAGTAGAATCACTTGAACGCGGAAGGCAGAGGTTACAGTGAGCCATTGCACTCCAGCCTGGGCAACAAGAGTGAAACTCCCATCTCAGAAAAAAAAAGAAAGAAAAAAAAATTTAGGCGGCTTCCACCTCAGTGAAATGTCTAGGGGTCCAGTGGTGTGGGGCACGTTGAGATATCCCTTCTAAGGTGAAAGATAATTTGTTGCATCTGGTCCCTCCTACAGCCAGGAAAGAGGTATATGCCTGGTGATCCTCTTTGGATTTTGGAGGCAACATATTTCCCATTTGAGTGTGCTACTCCAGTCCATTCACTGAGTGACCCAAAAGCTGCTAGTTTTCAGTGGGTCCTGAACAGAATAAGGTTCTGTAACAAGTCCAGGATGCTATGCTGGCTGCTCTGATTCTTGGGCCAAAGGATCTGGCAGATACAATGGCTTGAAGTGCCAGAGGCAGACAGGGATACTGTCTGGAGCCTTTGGCAGGCCCAGCTAGGTGAATCACAGCACAAGCCCTTAGGATTTTAGAGCAAAGCCCTGCCATTCTCTGCAGACAACTACTCTCCCTTTTGAGAAATAGCCTTTGGCTTGCTACTGGGCCTTAATAGAAATTGGACACTTACTACGCTCATCATGAACAGGATGTTAATGACCTTCCAAGATATAAAGTTGGGTGTGCATAACAGTAATCCACTATCAAATGGAAGTGTTATTAATATATATAGGCTCAAAGTGGCACTGAAGGTACAAGTAAGTTACATGAGGAAGTGGCCCAAATCCCCATGGACCTGACTCCTGCTATGTTATCTCCTCTCCCTCTGTCCACAACTACAACCTTATGGGAGAAAACTTGGGCCTGTTCACAGATGCTTCCACATGACATGCAGGCACCATCTGAAAGTGGACGGCTGCAGCACTATAGCCCATTTCAGGAACACCTATGAAGGACAGCAGCGAAGGGAAATCCTCCCAGAGGGCAGAACTTCAAATACTGCTTCTGGTTGTTTATTTTGCTTGGAAGGAGAAATGGCCAAATGTACAGTTCTATACTGATAAATGGGATGAAGCCAGTGACTTGGTCGTATGTTGAGAAACTTGGAACATGATTGGAAAATTGGTGAAAAGGTCAGGGGAAGAGATATGTGGACAGACTTCTCTAAATGGGCAAAAATACTTGAAGATAATTGTGTCCCACGTGCATGCTCATCAAAGGGTGGTTTCAGCAGAGAAAGAGTTTAATATCAAGAGGACAGGATGACTTGTTCTGTTGATACCAGTCAACCACTTTCCAGACACTCCTGTCATTGCCCAAAGGGCTGATGTACAAAGTGGCCACACAGTCATCTAGTGCTTGTGACACACCACAACATAAACACAAAATCCATAATGCCAATTATCATCATGGGTTTGTGCCCATGTTGATATATATAGCTCATCATACAGCTTGATACTATAGTTCCACACAATTTCTACACAGAATGGAAAGAATATATTTGTTTATTTACATCTTTAATATAAGGTAGCATTAAGCCTCTAACAAATATTCATTTGTCAATCTAATACTCTCCTAACATGTATTAACTTGTCAATTTAGCACCCTACTAAAGAAGCTTTAAAAATTAAAGGTTGAGGCTGTAATCCCAGCAATTTGGGAGGCCCAGGCGGGTGGATCGCCTGGGGTCAGGAGTTCAAGACCAGCCTGGCCAACATGGTGAAACCTCGTCTCTAATAAAAATACAAAAATTAGCCAGGTGTGGTGGCACGTGCCTGTAGTCCCAGCTACTAAGGAGGCTGAGGCATGAGAATCTCTTGAACCCAGGAGGCAGAGGTTGCAGTGAGCCAAGACTGTGCTGCTGCACTCCAGCCTGGGCAACAAGGCAAGACTCCATCGCAAAAACAAACAAACAAACAAAAAAACAAAAAAAAACTGTTAAAGGTTGAGTTTTATTTCATATATCTCAAATGTGAAAAATCTAAATCCATCCAAATAACCCTAAATTTTTTTTCTGAAACTAAGAAGGATCTACATAAGTGTTCCAGGAACAAAATGTTGTGAGAAAAACAAGCAGTATTTGTTACTTATTACAAATTGAGTATGATAGAACCAGGCAGCTGGAAGTCCTTTTATTTGACAATCACAAAAGCATCATCTTCAGGATAAAGGCTTTGCAAACATCTCAAAGGACACAGTAAGCACTTCCACTTCGAGGACTATGAAATGCTAGATATTCTAAGAATCCCTCAGGCAATAAGTTAAACAGAAACTGGACTGACTACAACAAGCTTATTGCCTTGCTAAGCTCACAGCGAGGTGTAAGCTGAAGTCCAGGTCTTGGGAAAGAGGAGCATTAAGAATAAAGAGATGCAGCTAAACTTTGAGACCATCCCGTGCATGCAGGCAAAAATGGAGAGCCAAACCTGAGAGGCCCACATCCAGCTGGAGCTCCTGAAGGAAGCACTGTCTTTCCTATTTAATAAGGGCCTTACGGGACTGCAGTTAGACATTTTAGGGGACTGCATAGTAATGCGACACTGCTGGAGACAGAAAGGGGCAGACACAGGGGCCCTATTGCATCCTAGATGTGAAATCTATTTAAGGGGGTGGGGGTGGTGGGCAAAGATAGAGAGAGCTCAAGAGGGTTATATTTAGGAAATCATAAAGATTTTTTTCACCGTTTCTAGCAAGACAAGGATTCCAGACATCTTCAGAGTATCCAGCAGTTAGCTGACAGCCTCCAGCTGCCATGCCTTCAGGATCTGTGGCAGCATCCTATCCCCAAGCCTCTCCTCGTCAATGCCTAAACATGTTGGGGCTGGGCTTTCCTGCTCAATGGTTGACTCATCTGCTGGGCAGTCTTTGCTGTAGAGGACCCCCTGGTCTAACCAAGATTTTTTCAAAGCTCTATTCAGTCTGAGTCTCTTCCTGCCCAACCTCCTTCCTTCCTTCTTTCCATTCACAAGTGTCAGACTGGCATCACAGTCTGAGTCCTACCCACCTATTCCTTCTCCCTTGTCCCTGTGTCCTTCACAAACTTCCCTCCCAATGAATCTCTTGCCTATCTAATTCCATCATGGAGGCTGAACCTCAGAGCATCTCTGAACTGACATAATAATCAATAGTGCTATTTTGTATTTGTTTTATTTTATAAGAAGGAAATACTGTTACTGTGATAAAAGCACATTAAATTTCATGAATGCTATGCAATTACTTATTTTTTAAAGCATTAATGTGACAAATACTAATATAGCTCTTAGCTTTCATACACTAAAACTAGTAAATTATTTAATACATGCAATTGATGAAAATGAAATATTAAATAGAAACTATAACTACTTATGTACAATGGTCCAATCATTTTATATATTCCCATTGTTCAAATAGCATTTATACACACATGCGCGCGCACACACACACACACACACACCCCTTGCCAGGATATCGATGTACTCAGCATAACATGCTCAGGCCTTTCAAAAGAAATTGTTTTAATCAGAGAAATAAGACAACAATCTGCCTATTCTTTTGTTTTGAGATGGTGTATCTCTCTATCACCCAGGCTGAAGTTCAGTGGCATGAACATAGCTCACTGCAGCCTCATACTCCTGAGCTCAAATGATCCCCCTGCCTCAGCCTCCCAAGTAGCTGAAACCACAGGTGTACGCCATCATGCTCAGTTAATTTTTCTATTTTTTATAGAGATGGGGTCTCACCATGTTGCCCAGGCTAACAATCTACCTATTAACCCCAAATTAAATATTATTCTACATATGGACTTAAAAATTATTACATTTGTAATTTGGATTATGTTAGTTATCACTAAACAAATATTAATTTTGTTTCGATAGCACCCTGGGAACTACAACCAGGCAAAACTGCAAAGCAAATGAAGGTAAAGCTGCCTATGACCCCCCTCCCATTCATTTTTAGTCTTTCCAAGTTCTTCTCCATCCCAGTACTACTTCAAGGCTATAAACGAGGCTCCCCAGAGTCCACAAAATGTTCCCTCCAAGAGGACATCCTCTAAAGTATTAACAAGTGATACCAGCTCATAGTACAGTTGCTTTTCAGAAAGAAAATAATCTGAGCTGCAGTGAAAACTGTCCCACAGAGCTAACCCTGTGACCTGGATCTGAGGGGATTAAAGGCAAAGCTCACTGATTTGAAAAGTGAAATACAGCTGACTTCAGCTTTCCTGCTGAACCACAGCTTTCTAACTATTCCTTGTCAAAATGTGTGTCACTACAGGCTTTGTCATCAATGATGTCAATGTGAGGCAGCAGCTAAAGAACTGTGTGAAGACAAAAATGTTAAATAAGAAAAATGCACATATAAACTTTCAATTACCTGTAAATATGTCAGAAGTCCAGTGTAGTAAACACTCCTTCACAAGTCTTTAAAATCCAAACCTCTGTTAAATTCACCAGGTCTAGGCCTGCTTTCTGGTACTGGTGTTCAGTTCATAACATCTGATTTCCTTCTTTGAATTTATAATTCATTTACCAACCATTTAGGCTCAGTAACAAACCTACTTTAGAAAGAGCCAGGCCAGCTCAAGAGAACGACTGGATCTGGGCCATTTTATGTAAACAAAGAATCATCTGACTTCATGAATTGTCAAGGGAAATATCATAGGAAGGAAGAGATGGGAATGGAAAAATTAAATACTTCTGTAAATTGCTTGGATCCTGTCTTTAACATACATTTTGTGATATGAGTTCCCACCATGTCTGCAAGTGATTTTGTTTATTAAATGCCCTTCACACACATTATTTTATCTAATTATGAAAACAATTCTATGTTGTAGGTTTGCTTGGCTCCATTTTGCACAAAAGGAAATCACTTCTGGTGGAATTTTAGTGATTTAGATGAAACTTACACTTGCCATGTGGCAGACTGGGGAGTAGACTCCAAATAAGAACTGTACTACGCAGCTTCTTTGCAAAATGCCATGCAGCAATTTTCTTTCGCTCAACACAATATTTCAAAAAGGTATTCATAGCTGCTCAATAAAGTGTTTCTTGGCCACAAAAGATTACCATGCTATAGGATTTACAAGATTAAAAGTAATAATTTGGGGCTGGGTGCAGTGGCTCACGAATGTAATCTTAGAACTTTGGGAGGCAGAGGCAGGTGGATCACTTGAGGCCAGGAGTTCGAGCCCAGCCTGGCCAACATGGTGAAACCCCGTCTCTATTAAAAATACAAAAATTAGCTGAGCATGGTGGCACATGCCTGTAATCCCAGCTACTCAGGAGGCTGAGGTAAGAGAATTGCTTGAACCTGGAAGGCAGAGCTTGCAATGAGCTGAGATCATGCCACTTCACTCCAGCCTGGGCAACAGAGCAAGACTCCATTTAAAAAAAAAAAAAGTAATAATTTGTTCTCCAGGCTGCGCTTCTATCTAGGCTTCTGTATATATAGTATATAGGTTTTCTGTTTTGCCTTTTGTTGTAAAGTTGTCAGGAGTCTGTCTTCGCTGCTATAGTATCTCTCCACCAGGAAACTTTCTTTTAATTTGCTATCTCTCAGGGGCTGTGAGATTGGAAACCAGACTACCATGTTAAAATCATTCATATAGCAAGCATTTATTGAGCCTCTTTTATTTATCATCAACAGTGCAGTAGCTGCTGATGATCTGAGCTCCTTTAGACTCAGTCCCTGTCCTCCAGGAATCTGCAGTCCAACGGAGAAGATAAGCACACAGAGAGAGGAACCCAACAGTGGAGCTCCAGATGCTAATGCAGATATGACACGCTGCTGTGAGTGCACAGGAGATGCGGAAACTAGCTCCGTCTCTGAGAACGGTTCTCGGAAGTGAGATGTGAGCTGGATTTTGAAGAATATATACAATTTTATTAAGCAAAACAGAGGAAGTGAGGGAATTACAGGCACAAAAGAACAGAGCATGAGAAAAGTCATGGTGTACTGGAAGGACTTGATGGATTTAGAAAAGGTAGACAACTTAAAATAACAAGTCAAGGAAGACGTTCTATAAAATAAACTTTGAGTCAGAGCTATAGGTAAAGGGCATGAGGTTAGTAGATGAACTTGTTGACATCTATTTTGGGTTTGCAGAGGACTTTTTTCTTACATTCTGGTTAGATGTGTTTGATATTATAATATATTTGGGCTATAAGTAGGTAAACTGTTATTGCCATATGGGACTTTTTTGCGTTGTGATTTTTTCCACTAATCAACCTCAGTTTACTCATAAGTACCCATGTATAGCTTACCTGTAACATGTACATACTAAAATATAACTGCAACCCACTAGAGTATGAGTTCCATGAAGGCATGACCATCTGTTTTCTTCATTGTTGATTCCCCAGCCCCTAGAGCACTTAAATGTTTGTTGACTGAATAAATGCACAAGTTCATTTATGTTGTGCTTTACATAAGTTTACCTACTTATAGTCTAATTATATAGTAATTTCAAACACATCTAACCAAAAAGTAAGAAAACAGGCCTCCGTAAACCCAAAATAGATGTCAACAAGTTCATCTACTAACCTCATGCCCTTTAGCTCTAGTTCTGACTCAAAGTTTATTTTATAAAACATCTTCCTCAACTGCTAACTTTAAATTGTCTAACTTTTCTAAATCCATCAAGTCGTGCAAATCATTTTCATGTCTATTACCTTCTTTTATCCTATTAACATGACACAAATAAAAGCAAGCACCATTTTAACTAAATGAGAAAGTACTCACCCATGCCTGGTTCCTCTAGCTCCCATCACTATGGCCTTAATGCTTCCGTGGCAACATTTAAGAATGGCGCACACATCCCTGCCTTTAGAGCTACTATTGGCTCATCCCCAAAACAGCCATGCAAATTTTTCTTCACAAGAAAAGCTTCTACAAATCCAACAACCAGCAGCAGTAGTGTTGACGATTTTGTTTTTTAGAGTATCTATGCCATCTGTTACATCTGGCTTATAACAGGGTGAGCTGAATTGACAAGTGATACCCAATTACAGTAATTATTCTAGGGTCCACAGAATCACCTGGAGGGCTTGTTAAAGCACAAATTGCTTCTCTCCCCCGCCTCTTTCTACTGCCAGTTTCTGCTTCAGTACACCTGGGGGGAGCACGAGAATTTGCATTTTTAACGAGTTCTCTGGTGTTGTTGATGCTGCTGGTCCAGGGACCACACCTTGAGAACCACTGATCTGGATAATCAGGACAATCCATTCACTCTACTATTGTAATTACATCAGTATGCCCTCTGCCTTTTTGTTTAACTTTTTTTCCTATTTTTAATCCACATCAATCTTCAGTCATATACAGAAATAAATGTTCAGATATAGAAATAAATGTTAATTCGGATACATTATTTTATGAAAACTGAAGTTTCATTCACCTTCTTGCCAATTAAAATGAGTTAAAAGAAGAAAAAAGTACACAAGAGGGGAAGGTAACTGCAGAGAATTAGTATAACATTATTTTTAAATGAAATACTTCAATTTAGAACAAGTTTCTATCACCCAAAGAGAAACAATATTTTGCTAAAATTCTAAATAAAATTCTATAACTGTATTAATAGAAAATCAGACCCATATTTCCAAATGAATGGAATTTTCATTATGGAATCAAGTTACTTGGTTCATAAACTTAGTATGTAGAAGCTCTATGCTTCCTAAGGACAAACTGGAAAACAGCTGTTACGGTTTTTCTTCTCCAAGCCTTAATTTCACAGAGAAGCGCTAATATTCTCTTGTTCATTATATCATATAAGCACCTCACAGTGTTTCCCATTATGAGATTTATCTTGTTTGCTTTGAAGTTAAAAAGGGAATGATTGTCTGGCCAAGTCAGGACTCATGAAATTCTAAAAGTCGATGAGCTCAATTTTGAAATAAAATGCCGTCTCTTGCACACACCATATTAAATCTAGAAATCTGTATTTACATGGCTGTTAAATGATATTCCATGTTACAATCCAAATATCTACATATACTATACAAATATGTGCAGATATATGCTGAAAACTCTAAAGAAAATAAAACAAATGGAATTCTCTGTTTTCAAGTGTTGATAATTAGAATGTTCACTGATTCTAAAGTTTATTAGACTGGTGGTAGTATCAGTTCAAATACTGTCCTCTAAGGTTGCAGTTTCTCAGGTGCACACACAAATATTCCACAGATGCATACACAGCAGAGTTAATCCCCAAAAAACAATGAAAACATCATTACAATACTCTGATGTACCCAATCTTCTGATCTAAAAAATACCAAATGGAGATTTCACAACAGAAAATACTACAGTGATAACTGCTTTCATCAACTGACCCCAAAATATTCTATTACATTTCCAAGAAGATAATGTCTTTGCAGTTACACAATGGAGGCCAGAATTTTAAAGAACTATGAAGAATTCCTACTCCCCATGTGTGGAAATAAGCCAAATCAGAAAGTAGCAGCTCCCATAGAACATTTCAACATTAGATTTGTCAGGGGAGTTATGCTTCCTCTGAAGCATATTCTCACGACAAAATGGAATAGCCCTGAAGGTAGAGTGTATTTGAGAATCTCTCGTTTAAAAACCCTGAGAGGGAAGGTTAGGATTGAAGCATTTGCCCAAGTGATAAAACTCCTGCCTTCAAAGCTCTCATTATAGAATTTCTTCAAAGGAATTTTACGTTTCATTAAAAAAAAAGAAACAAAAGAGACTTTAAAAAAATCATCAAAAAATCCAAAAATCAAAGTTTTTGCTCTTCTCTTCTCAATGAAAGGGAAAGCAAAGGCAAAGAGCCCCGACCACCGTCCCCACAAATGATGTGCCAGTCCTCCCTGTCTGATATCAGACCCTTCCCTTCCCTTGCCCTGCTCTGCCTTGCCCTTCCCAGGAATGACCCTGCAGGCTACCTCTCTCAGGCACCCCTGCGAAGTGGCTTCTAGTTAGATTTACATAATGGGATGTGGCAGGAGACTGAGGGCCAAAGGAAGGTCAGCTCCAAGATGTGGCAGTCCTTTTCTCTGTCTCCAGCAGTATCTACACATTCTCTCTCTCTCTCTCTCTCTCTCTCTCTCTCTCTCTCTCTCTCTCTCTATGTCTATCTCCCTCTCTTTCTCTCGCTCATGGTTTCCAACTTACAAAACCCAATCCAGATGTAAAAATAGAATATTCAAGACCTAAATGTACCCACTTAACCCAACAAGTACTAATCTAATACTTAGGTAGGGTCTTCCCAACATTAAATCTGCCAGGCCACCAATTCTACACCTGATGGACCAGCAGCTGATTGGAGCTTTTCTCTGCATTGTAACCAATATTATTAGCATGAATAGCTCAGCAATACCAAGGTTGTACACAGATCACTGGTACATTTCTACTGTTACAAATGAATTAATACCCTATCTATGAACCTGAGCTTCAGTGCCTCATCTTAAGCTGGCATTAATTATACTGGTTCAACTGACAAAAGTCTCCAATGATTTAATTAGAGATGGATACAGAAGGGAAAAAGCAAAGCAAAACACAAATGTATACTGCTATGTAAATGCTAAGTGTTATTTTGATGAGCTCAAGTTCCAACCCCTTCTTAGACACACTTTGTGCTGAATGATTTTGTCAATGCTGATACAAACATTTTCCATGTGAAGTGGAACATCTTCCTAAGGGAGATTTGTTTCCTGAGACATTTGTAAACCTCCTTAATATCACAAATTAGGCATCCTGACTCCACCATGTATGATCTGTTTGACCTCAGGCACATTATTTCACTGCTATTAAAGCTTCAGTTTCCACATCTATAAAATGGTTTAGTAACAGGACTGACCTCATGGGGTTGTAGTGAAGAACTTTGAACTTTAGCAATGTTATTACTTAGTATGGGTCAGGGACTAGGACTGGAAAGGGCTCTGCTTGAGCTCTCTTTGGGGCATCTTAAGGCTGGTGGAAATAGTTTTCTGAAAATGTGGTGGTTGTCAGAAACTTGTGCTTCTGACTCATAAATGGGTTAGATATTCCATATAAAGTTAAATGGTATTGCCTAGCATATAGTAAGAAGTCAATAAATCTTAGCTATGTTATTATTGCCAGCTACAACTTCATGCCAGTAACTGGAAAGGAATATAATAAGAAAAAGTTGCTGATCTATATATTATTTGGTTAAAACAATAATAATTAAAAAACTAGCAGGGTAAAATATCTACAGAACATGTAAAAACCCTATTTTCAGCCTCCACTTTCAACTGAAAGACATAATTGAATCACTGTATGCCATTGTTCCCAAAATGGGCTTCCAGACCAAGAAAAGCTCAAATGTGTTTAAAAGGAGAAGCAATCCAGTGAGCAGAGGAATAACATATGAATCACAAGCTTCTGACAAACATCAGGTCCTCAGAAAACTACTTCCACCAGCCTTAGGAAGCCCCAAAGAGGACTCAGGCACAGCCCTTTCCAATCCTAGGCCCTGACCCATACTAAGCAATAGTATCACCAAAATTCAAATGCAATTTTAGGCCCGTCATCTAACAATGTAGAGTTTTTCATTGAAAACACGTTTATCCTTTTCTTCTATGAAATATCATTTCTGTTTTCCTTCAGTGTCCATTTGTTATATATCCAATATATAGCCATCTAGGGCCTAGCTAAATAAAGCTGATGGATATAGCTTTTTAAAAAAATAATAAAACATAGTTCTGAAACCATAAAAACAAATAACTCTACTTTGTATCTCAGGACATATCAGTATTTAGTATATCTCAGTGGGAAATTTATATTTATCTACCCTTTAAAAGCTAACATTTGTTTTTCTATCCTGCTAAGTCTATTTTCTGAAAGAGAGTAGGAAAGAAAGAGAAAATATATAAAATGGAAAAGATTGTGACATAGTATAATGACAGATCATAACTTAGAATAGAAGGTATATAGGTTATTAAATTTAAGAAATAGAACATATTTTTATAAACTAAAATGAAATACACTCTAAATATTATAGGTTTAAATCCATGTATTGTAAGAAGGGATAAAGATGTTGCCTTTTTTTTCCTTTGTGCTCTTAAGATTATTACCATCTGGCTGCAGCACATAGATCCTTAAGTAACTGTATTTATAATTTAGAGAAACATAGAGCAAGAACCTGGACATTTTCAGTGGATTGTCCAAGGGATAGGTGAGGAGGGGACATTTGCAAGAGGAAGACTTTCCCATACTTATTCACTTTCCAAGGCTTCCCAGAAAGTTGTCCCTGAGGTCAGGAGCTGACATTCAAGGCCCTGCACTTGATGTTAAACTTATCAAAAGCACAAGAGGGAGGTCATGCTTTTAAAATTCAGAGGAAGGAAAGGGACAGAAACCACCTGGCGGGAACACACCCACCTCACCCGCCCCACTCCCAACAAGATGAGATGCCTTCCTTCCCTTCTCTTCAGTACAACAAATATCTTTTATTATCCAGAATTTTTATCCCCTTAACATAGAGTATCTTTGGTTGCTCTTTGTCTCAAGTTACAAATGATACATCCAATTTTTGCCTTAGATTTTTGGCTTCATAAATATTATCTGACTCCTTCAATGTCTTTTCTTATTTCAAAATATGGGAAAATTGGACATCTCAACTCAGTAGTCTTTACTTAACACTTTACAGTCAAGCAAAGGACTACGAACAATCACACTTTATGTTTGCATATTGTTTTACAACATACGAAAGCTTTCATGTATATTCTCTTTTGTTGCTCATCACAAACATGTAAGGTAGGTAAGAAAGATGGCGTCATTATTTATGTTCTCTGAGAGAAAACTGAGGGTCTGAAAAATAGTTGTGAATGTTGACTCTATGCACATGGACAGACAGAGAGACAGAAGAGTTGGAAATGGTTAAATTTCCCATACAAGGTCTTACAGCTATTAAGTGATAGAATTTAAATTCCTTCCAGAATGTCTGACTCTGGATTTTGTATATACAAATTGACAACTGTTCCAATCCAAAATGTTGCTTAGGGAGATTTAGCAACTTTAATACATATAACCAGAAAGCATTAAACACTGGGATAGAGGGGAAAACATTATCTAATAGATTTAAAATTTATACTATCCATAGCTAAAGACATAAATGTATAAACCCAATATGTAGTAAAAAGACTATGAACGAGAGATCCTAAAACAAGATGATAAAATGAAATAATTGTATACAGTTCTCTACAACTAATGTAAGATTGCACAACTAATATGTATATGCTCAATGTTTAAAGTAACTAGCTAGTTAATTGGGAAAATGACATGAAATGAGAAAAAGCCAAAACCTCAAAGATGAACCATGAAAAAGTAAGACTCTTCCCCATACCAAATCCTCAACCCCATTCCTCAATTTCCTCTGTATCCTTCTAAACATTTTGTTTACATTTATAAGTAGGTGTATACATATGTACATACTTATGTATATACATAAGTATATACATACTTATGTGTATATATATAAGTGTGTGTATATATATATACACACACACACACACAGGAATTTGGAGGGTTTTGTTTTTGTTCTACACCAATGGCAGCATACTATACAACTGCTTTTTTCATTCAGAATATATCAGCACATTTTCTAAATCAATATACATAAATCTACTTCTTTAAAAAATTATATAGGCTTTTTTCCCCCAATATAAGGCCTTAAGATCCCCAACTATTAATTTCCCTATCATAGCATTTTTCCGGGACATAAATTGCATGACTAGAGAATGAACACTTTATTGTCATGAAACTAATTCATACCAAGCCTGACATATTTTTAACAAAACTAAGTAGGAGCATGTAATAAAAACTGTACGCTAACAATTTCAAAACTCTTTAACGAAGCCTCTTTTCATTGATTTCTTGAAGGAGAATCAGAATCTTTTGGAGAACAGTACTGAGCTATTAAAATGCTAATAGAAATGTATCCCTTAAGTCTTAGTACAAATAGTACAGGCAGAGGTCATTAGGTAAACTAAAAATCCTGTAAGCTATTCTCTCTTTTCTCTCTCTCTCTCTCTCTCTCTCTCTCTCTCTCTGTCTCTCTCTCCCTCCTTCTGTCTCTCTCCCCAAACTAAAGTTGATACAATACAACAAATTTTTAAAAGTCAGGGCTCTATATACATCAGCATAGAGACTTCATATAGATTCCATGTGATTTGGATTTTATGCTTAACTCAGAACAAGCTTATTTACTTCTTTACTAAAAAACATGTGTAAAAATAAAAACCATCAATAGTGACTTTGCAGAGAATAGCAAATATTCAAAGAGATAGAATATGATATTTAGTTCCCTATTACCCAAGTAACATCAAAATACAAGTCTATCCGTCCAAAGTACGAGTTGGAAAATGATTGAACGTCAGAATTAACACCTTAATGCCCATGTATTGTTGGAAAACGGCAATGTCACCATGTAAAATGTGTGAGCAGGCAAAATTAGACTGGTCACCAAAAAAGCACCCTCCAGCATGTTAGATAGAGGGGACACTGAATTCCTATAGAATTCAATAAACAGCCATACTGAAACATATCACCAAAAATGCTTTGCGACTTAAGTAGTATTTGCAGGAAAAAAACTTTTCCCTCATTGCTTTTTAACTTCTCTGAGAGAAATGAATGTGGAGTTTGATTCCTACTTTTGATTACACAAGATTCCTGATTAAAGAATAATTTGAGGAAAATTCACAGCAAGAGATAGCTCCAATTACAACCAGAGATCATTCTAACTAACCTGGTATACATTTTTTAAATAGAAAAAAATCAAAATGTGTGCAAGGATATAAAGTCCATTTATATGTTTATGGAATATATTAATATAGAACAGAAAACTAAGAAACTAAGTGATTAAATCCTCTCAGAGGATGACTAGAAAAATTGGACAAAATATTTAAAGAAACAACCCATTAAAGGCACACAGATCTCTCACGTATAGTAAAGATTTACTGGGAAAGGAGTCTAGGTAAATACAAATTTGAAGCAACTTCTTTCCATGGGAACTTACATGGGTTCCAGCAGGGAGAACTAGAGACTGAGGCTGAACAGGATTTGCAATATCCTCTTGGTGCCCAGGCCACAGAGGTTGGTCTTCAGGGCCTACAAAGGGTTGGGGAAAGCCCTGCTGGACTCCCTCACTTTTGGCTGTGATCCCTAAAGGCTGTTCCTGAGGAGTAAAGCTGAACCACAACTTCCGCCCTTGCAACTCAGCTTTGAATTATTGCAATATTTGAGACTGGAAAAGAGATCTTTCTACCTCCTAGTCTCCCCAGGTTTCCTAAAGTGTTAGCACCCCCAGGCAACTGGCAGAAGGTTTAAATACTGTTAAAAAGAGATCATCATCTGCATTAGTTATCAGTTGCTGCATACAACATTATTCCAAATTTAGTGGCTTAAAACAAGATATATTTATCATCTCACAGTTTTGAGTCAGGAATCTACGAGTAGCTTAGCTTGGTGGTTTTGCTTCAGGACTTCCAACAGGCTGCAATCAAGGTGCCAGATCGAGCCGCAATCATGTAAGCCTTGACTGGGTCTGAAGGAGCCACCTCCAAGTTGACTCATCTGACTGTTGGCAGGAGCTTCAGTTCCTCACTGTGTGGGTTCACCATAGGGCTGCTCTCAATGTGCTTCTCCCAGAGGGATCCAAGAGCACAAGAGGGAGTCCAATATGGAAGCCACAATCTCAAAAGTGACATACTGGCCAAGTGCAGTGGCTCACGTCTGTAATCCTAGCAGTTTGGGAGACCAAGGCGGGTGGGTCACCTGAGGTCGGGAGCTCAAGACCAGCCTGGACAACATCGTGAAACCCTGTCTCTACTAAAAATGCAAAAATTAGCCAGGCATGGTGGCGCACCCCTGTAATCCCAGCTACCTGGGAGGCTGAGGTAGGAGAATTGTTTGAACCTATGAGGCGGAGGCTGCAGTGAGCTGAGATCACGCCACTACACTCCAGCCTGGGTGACAGAGCAAGACCCCATCTCAAAAAAAAAAAAAGTGACATACCATTACTTCTACCATTTTCTATTAGTCAGAAGTGAGTTACTAAGTCCAGTTCACCCTCAATAAAGGACAATACACAAGGATTGATGTCGTTGGGGGCTATCTTAGAGCCTGGATGCCTCATCATGCTGGGCCTCAAAGTATTTTTGCAAACAGCTTTTCAAACACAATATCCACATACAATCAAAGGTAACCAGGAATACAAAGAAAAAAGACAAAAAGAAAAATACACTAGAAACAACAGATCCATAAAGCTTCAGATATTAAAGCTGCATTGTCAGACAGAGGCTTTAAAAGCTGTATATTTTTTGTTGCTGTTGATAAGGAAAAGATGATAAATTTTAACAGATAACCGCCCAAAAATAATTAATTAATTTAAATTAATTAAGTTTCAAATTTCTACTTCCCAGCATGCTGGTGTAATTGGGACTGGACTTACCCTTTTGTCATAAACAACTAGAAAACTGGACAAAATATAGGAACTAGCTCCTCTCAGACATCAGAGAACAAGCAAGACAAAATTGTGATCCCTGGGCTGAGAGAAACAAGGTGATTCTTACAATTACCCAGTTTAGAGGCTGAGAGAAGACAGAAGACTCCTGGATCAGAGATGAAAGCCTTCATTACTCATAGCAAAGGTGGTAGCCGCATATCAGCATATTCATATCAATTACCCAAGTCTAAGTTTTAAGGGCAAAATAGATGGCCAGATGATGCCTGCACACAGATAGAGTAGGAACACTGAGCCTAAAGAACCCATCACTTTATAGCAAGCGGTAACGAAGCCAGCTCTTCATCCTGAATGGAGACATTACCTCATCCCTCGAGACCGCTTGCTGAAAATGCAACCCTGATAAATAATCCAGGTAAAGAGTGGTCAGGACCTTGCATTCTTGGCATACCCAGCAAGACATGTAAGACCTATGGGAAAACTGATCTATTCGAATGCTAAGTGCATTTCATCTTAGGTAGATTAGAATGATAGCTCTAAAAGCTGAACTATTTTTTGCCAACTTAAAAAACCAGACTGTTTATATTCAATATTTTTATTAATCAAATGAGACAATTATTCTTAAAGCTAGGTTTTAAGAAACAGAGACAAGACTTTTTGTTTTAGTTCAAGAAATATAGGTAGTGTATTTATACTTCTTATACAAAAGGAAGCTTAAGGTTTAACTAGATTTTACTCTAATTCCTTTTCTATTTTAGCTTCCTTTACTGGCATATAAGTAATACTTGGTCAACAAGGTTCCAAGAGAGCTCTCTTTCCCATATTCACAGGTATTAAGTATTATACACAAAAACTTTCTCAGCATCTGGTACAGTATTTAGTGCAGCATCTATGAAGTTTACACAAGATTCCTGATTAAAGAATAATTTGAAGAAAATCCACAGGAAGAGATAGTTCCAATTACATCCAGAGATCATTCCAACTAATCTGGTATACATTTTTTAAATAGAAAAAATCAAAATGTGTGCAAGGCTATAAAATCCATTTATATGTTTATGGAGTATATTGGTATAGAATAGAAAATAATTTATAAGCTTAATATACAATACACCTGATGGCTGTCAAGTTGTCCTATACTTTGGATAGAGTTCCTACTACTAAGTTGCATATTTAACTTCAGTCTTTTACAAGTGAGCAAGGATTGCCAGGCATGAAATGATACCAGGTTATATTTCCTATTAGCAAAATAAGGTATATCTCAATAATTTACTGTTTTACACTATATTTTAAGTGGCTTTAACTCTAAATACATACTCTATAGCCACTGTAATAATTTAAACATGGAAGCCTATCAATTAAAATTGCTAAAATAATGAAAATATTCAAAAGAAGCATTAGCCAATTCTTGTAAGGAATTTGCAGAAATGTCAAAAGTTTAAACAATGTTTGTAATTTTACCAAGAACAAAGAGGTATATTATGTCCAAGTATAATACTTAATATATTTACATGTTTCTGGAAAAAATGGAATGAAAATAGATATTTGTAGGTTGAATTATAATTTGAATGCATGACGAAAATTACACCTAATGGCAATTTTGAAGAAATCATTTATAAAGAAAATAATCTCTTCATAAAATAGGTGTATTTTTATAAATCAGACTTGTTTAAAACAAGGTATATCTTAAATGCTTTATAAATGTTTGCAGAATGATATTCAATATCATAATCCCTGTAGTCCGATGAAATCATTCTGTCATATGTTCATGCCAAGATTATTGAATAGCATGAAACAGTTTTGAAGATACATGCACATTTAGTCATTGTGATGTGTAAAATCTGGCAGGTACACATTTAAATGAGTCTGACTAGGTAGTTGGTTTCAATGCCTGACCACCATTACCCTAAAAGCAAAACCTCATCAGCTTGCTATTTGGTGTCCACAGTTTTCTCTGATTAGTTGTTTCATATACAAAAGGATTATTAAATATGGGCAGTTCTCCAGCCGGACATTCTTACCCAATGACTAGAGAGTTTTATTGCACATACATGTTTCATGAGCAGTAATATCACATTTTGAATGGTTTAGAATGTTTTTTCAGCTCATCTAGATACAAATCATAAAATAATCAAGTCCAAAATGTGCAGCAGTATTACTGAATGCATGTTACAATCATATATGATTACACATAGAAAAGTTTAAGCATTTTCTTTTAAAATTTTTTCCAGGATTTTCTTTGAACACTCATGTCATCTAAAGGTCCCCAATGCAGAATTTTCTCCTCAGAATCATTCTTTTGCCTGACCATTTCTCTATGTTAGCTTCTAATTATTCACTGGACACTTTTATTTATGAATATGTTCATTAAAATCCTCACCTGCCATACAGTATAGAATTTCATTTGCTCTAAAGTCATGTTTTGATGGGATATCATGTTAATTTATGTTATACTAGCATCCAGCTAAATAAGACAAGATTAGTCCATTTCATAATGATAATATTTCTTTATTGCTATTGATACAACGGTTTCTCCTAAAATAAAAATCCTACATTTATTAACTAATTTATTAAATTTATTCACTGATTCCTTCTCTGAATACCAACTTGGCTCTATTCGTTAGGACTCCTAGGCACAGTAGTAACATATTACAAACTATTCATTAAAATACCAAATATTTATTGCCTACTATGTACCAGGCATTGGTTTCCTAGGACTACTAAAATACGGATCATGCTATTGTGAAGGCACTTAGAGACTGGTGGAAGAAGAGAGGAAGGGAGAGACGTGAAGAAGGAAGGAAACGGTAACTATGTAAAGTGATGAATATGTTAATTAGCCTAATTGTGGTGATCATTTCACAACTTACATATATATCAAAACATCAAGTTGTACACCTTAAATATATACAATTTTTACTTGAGAATTATACCTCGATAAAGCTGAAAAATAGCATATATATATTTATACTTGCTTGTATATGCACAGAGAAACACTGGAAAGACATAAGAAAGTAAGAGAAAAGGTTGTTTATTGGGGTCAAGGGAGGCTGGTGAACTGGGTAGACACAGGAGTGCAAACATCTTCTCAATATAAAAATTTCTATTTTTTTTTTACTTTTGGATGTCATAAATGTCCAAAATTTATGACATTTAATTTAAAATTTTAAAAAGTGTATTCAATACAACAGTGTACAATAATCTATAATTACTGGAGGAAAGATGCAAATTAGCTTTGAACTTCCTAGAGGTCATATCAAATGGAGAATTATGTTGTTTCAAAATTCAGATTTTCCCCATATTAAGACCTGAAAGGAATTTCTCTACTGTATTCTCATTAATTGGATATTCTGTGATGTAGTGAATGAGAATCAACATCTTCTTAATATGTACTTGTAAGTTTCAAATCATTCTCTTGCTTAAACTCTCAATACCCTCCAATTTGATTGGAACAAATCCAAATCTCTCATCACAGTCTGTGACACCCTACATGACCTGGCCCTCACCTGTTCTCCCCTTTGATCACAAAGCTCCAACAGCAGTGGTCTTCCTTCTGTCCCTTGACCATAGCAAGCTCCTACCTGTCTCAGTGCCTTTGTACTTACTGGTCCTTTTCACCTTCGAAGTCATTCTCCCAGGTAGTATTAGCATGGCTGCCTCCTTATCATTCAGTTCTCAACTGTAACATCATCCTGTTAGACAAACCTTTCCTTCCTACTCTCAATAAGAGCACATCACCTTGTCCCCAGCCACTCTTGAGCCCATCCTGCTGTTTTTATTCTTTATAGCACTTTTTACAGTCTTCTATTTCATTATTTCTATTTTCTGTCTGTCTTCTCCCACAAGAAAACAACTCCTAAAAGTTGTTGACTACCATCTTGTATCATCAGCTTTCTACAACAGGGCCTGAGACGTAGTGGGTGGTGAATAAACAGTTGAATGAATGAGTGAATGACAATGAATTAGTGATTGTGAAAGAGAATGAAAGAAGCAAGAAAAGGAAAGATGCAGAGAGATAAGAGAAAGAAAGGAAGGAATCTCTTAATATTCAACAATTTTTAGCTAGGCACAGTGGCTCATTCCTGTAATTCCAGCACTTTGGGAGGCTGAGCTTGGAGGATCAATTGAGCCTCAATTGAGGAGTTTGAGGCTAGCCTGGGCAACAAAGCAATACCCCATCTGTACAAAAATAAAATAAAATAATTAACCAGATGTTGTGGCACTTGCCTGTAGTCCTAGCTACTCAGGTGGCTGAGGCAGGAGGATCACTTAAGCCTAGGAGTTCTAGGCTGCAGTGAGCCATGATTGCACCACTGTACTTCAGCCTGGGTGACAGAGCAAGACCCTGTCTCAAAAAAAAAAAAAATGTCAAACAGCTGTGACTAATATTAAATAAGATCTGTCAGCTAATTCTGATATTACCTTGCATGAGGTTTTTAGACTTCAATGGCTTATACACAATTTTAACCAATATTTACTTAGAGTACAAAGTTTTAACGCTGCTGTACATATGTCACTCATCTCATAAGCTATGTATCTCAAGAAAATTATTATTGGAAAAGTCCTAAAAGTTTAACTAATACCTGTAGTTAAATTAGATTTATCATAAATTTATGTTTGTCAAACCATCTTCCCCCCAAAGAAAGAATTCATGAAGCAAGACTAAGGATTCTGAAAAAGATTTTACCACCTACCACCATACTTTTCCCTTTGTAATACTTGGTCAAAGTTAACTAACAATTATTACAGTATAGCTAGAGCTTCAGGTAGACTGGATTTGGGCAACCACATTTGGATATCAAGAGAAGGAACCTGAACAAGGATCTGCTGGATCACTGGATTTCTGCAGTTGCACTACAGAAGCAATCTAACATCAAAACTTACCTTCTTCCAGCCCTTCACGGTGGATGAAGAGAAGAAACCTACAAATGGTTTCTATTAATTGGCCCAGAATTTCACATCCTTTATTTCTTTGTGTGCTGGCTAGATTTTATAACCATTGCCATGTGGGTTCAGGACAAACTGACTTGCTTAAAATCACACATTAAAAATGTTTCAACTCCACAGTGTCTCCGACAGCCCAGTTTTTGTTTCAGAATGATTCCACAATCTATACAATGTGTAAAATTACTCATACAAAGATTACTCCCTATTATTTGCATATGTTAAGGTTCATGTGTGTTATTTATTGCAGCATAGGTCTGAAATAAATTATGGTTTAAAAATATGTTCCTGATAATACCCTTTTCATATCACAGCATGAGGGCAACTGGTGTGAAAGGCTTCCCACTTGTGATCAAACCATGCTTCCCTTTATTTTCAAGGTCAGCTATAACAAGAGTTATGTCTATAACTGAGTTAGAAATGGTTTATTGTAGTACCTTAACTGGCTATCCTCAGTCACAGATGATTTTTACTTTTCAGTTAATAAATCCAGGGTTGAATTTAATATCCATTGGCCCTCCTGAGACACATATGCACAATCCTAAGAGGACATCTGTCTCAGAGAGCAAACATCTCTGCCATCCTCAAAACTAAAGTCGCATTATGGTCACGTGCAGAGCATTTGTTTTGTGTCTTTTCCATTCTCTAAACTTTAGAGAATGCTTTAGAGTGTGAGATTGAACTTTTCCCTGGAAGAGTAATTGTTCATGCAAATCTGTGCCCAATCTTCACAAAAAGTGTGGAAAAAATATGCAAGCAGAAGCAGAGAACAGCAATGCTCACAGTCCAGATTTTAAAGGTGATGCATAGTTAGGTCGGTGATTTGAACACTGCTGGAGCTTTCAGACTGAAAAATCATCTTCTTATTTCAATAGTAATGGCATTAAGGATTCTACTACACTACTACAAATATTGTACGCCTCATGTCCTGTTAGTCTCTAACAAAAACAACTTGCTATTAAAGTACAGCTCTGGGCAAAAAAAGGTGGTTTGGATTGCAAGAAGTTATTAATTAACATGACAGCAAAGCTTCAGGACATGAAACCACAAAGCAGCTCTCTGGCTGGTTGTCAACAGTGTCACACATATGTAAATAATCCACAGTTTTAAAAGGCTGTTTTCTCTTCTATACTTTATCCCCTTGACAATGATTGTAATTTTCTGTACTGAGATCTCTTCCAAGTCTAACATTTGTGACTACAGAACAGTATGAAAGTAATCTTGGTTCCAATTGTTTCTTTTTAAATCTCATAATAATAAAAGCATCCTAGAAATGAGCTCTGTCATATTCTTAAAGACAACTGAGACAATTGTCAGTATATCTATCCACTGTAATCTCAGCTAGCAGGTAACAATTAAATTAAATTAAATCAAATGTTGTGGGATATTTTAAGCCATTTTTAAAGAACACTACCTTTTTGTCAACATATTAGAAAGTCCTCATTTTTCCCCTAAACTTTTGGCATACACAACATTTCCAGGAAACTGTTCATTAAGACTAACTGCAAGAGAAAGACTCATTCTCTCACCAAAACGTCTACAATTAAGTTCATTTTATAATAGTAATTTTTTAATGAACTGCTAACACTGACGGAAGCATAAAGACTTTGTAAAACTGCCTTGGATATGAAAACCCATATTAAATATGTAGGTTTCAGAGATGACCCCACCCTGCCCACAATACACAAACACACACACAAACACCCACACATACACATTCACATACACACACATTCACATACACACACATATCACATCACACAGAGAATAAAATCTCTCAATTGACTTCATTAGAATAACATTTCAGTTAGAAACCAAATTTGAAAATCATTCAACAGAAATGTATATTTTAAGTACCAGCCAACTCATTTTCATTATTAAGTAAAATTAATCCATGTGAAGTAAGGGGAAGCAACACAGTGCCTCACCAAGATGGGAGTGTCCAGGGCCTAGTTCAGCTGCTGCTCAGCTGTGTGACCCTGGATAAGCTACAGCACCTCCCTGAGCCTACAGAAATGGGGAAAGCCAATCGGGTGGGCTCTATCATCTCTTCAGCTGCTGCTCCAGAAATCCTCAGGCTAGGGTTACTTCAAAGCATCCCTTCTGCATAGCTGGTTCTACTGACCACTCCAACTCTATGTGAAAAACCTTGGCCACCACCACAACTCTGGGCTCAGTGCATCCAGACATTCTGATTCCCAGAGTTGGGGAGCACTTCATCATGGGACACAGTGATCATTCCGTTAAACTAAGCAGAGGCCGCTATCTGGTTGGTCATTCGGTCTTCTTGTGCCGAGTGACCAGCTGCAAGGAAAGAAGTTACTATGCTATCAAGAATAATGGACTCTGATCATTAAGAGGAAGGGAGAGCTAATATTATACAATGCAGACAGGGGAGAATTCATTTGACACCCAGGTGACATATGGAAATGTTTTTTGGTGCGCCTTGCCCAATTTTGATAGCAAATGGACAAATGTAGTGGATACAGCCCTAGAAGGGTTATGGTATTCAGGTGTTTGACCCTTCCGGGATGAAGATCTGAGTCACACCACCTTGACAGAGAGGGGTGCTAGCCAAGCGTGAGGGGATTCTAGAATGGGCAGGAGAAGCGGAAGATGATGAGTATCAGCTGTAGTCCCAAAACCATCTGCAGCAGAGAGATACGGCCCCTCCCACTGATCTTCTTGTAAGTTTCCCCAGAAAAAGAAACCAACCAGAGTCCAGAATCCTGGAGGAGCAGTTCCCGGATGGAATAAACAAACATTTAGGAAGTAAGTGGACCCAGGAAGCCCAAGAGGGGCTATATTCATTTCCTTAGGCTGCCATAATAAAGTACCACAAACTAACTGGCTTGAGACAACAGAAATTCATTATCTCACAGTTCTTGAGGACAGAAATCTTAAATCTGAGCCGATATTAAAGGTAAGTAGGTATCAGCAGGGCCATGCTCCCTCCAAGGGCTCTAAGGAACAATCCTGCCTTGCCCTTTTCAGCTTTTGGTGACTCCTGGCATTTCTTGCTTTATGGCAGTGTAACTCCAGTCTCTGCCTCCATCTTTACAGGGCCTTCTCCCCTGTCTCGAACTTCCCTTTCCCTTGTCTCATGACACCAATAACTGGAATTAGGGTCCACTCTAAATCCAGTGTGATCTCATCTTCAGAGCGTTAACTTACATCAACAAAGTTCCTATTTCTAAATAAGGTCACAGTCACAGGTGGGCTGCAGTGGATGGCCCAGTGCCCTGCCCAGAATCCCCTTTCAAGCCCAGGCACTCGTTCCTCCATCAGGCAGTGTGGTGTCCCCCAGAAAAATGCCCTCAGCTAAAGGGAGCTTCCTCACGCAAGGCTATGCCCCTTCCTCAGGGGCAGCCCCCTGACTCAACTGAGCACAGATCTGAAGGGCACCTCCATCCCAGAGCTCCCTACAGGAGAGACTGAGGTCTTGCTGTGTTTGCATCATGGTTCACCTTCCTCTACGCCCGACCCTGCTGCCCTCACTGCTGTCCAGGTGTTGTTCCCAAGAGCACACACCAATAAACTACGTCTGTCTTCAGCAGTTGTTTCCGGGGAACCTGACCCTCAGGCTCCCCGATCCCGGGCCAAGCCTCTTGGCCACTTACTAGTGGAGAATTTTGGACAGGATACTTAACCATGCTACTCCCAATTTTTCTTATCCATGAAATAAGGATAAGAGCAATACCTTCCATGCAGGGTGTTGTGAAAATGAAACAAGTTAATTAATCCAGATCTCTTAGAATACTGCCTGGCAACATAGGAAGTGCTCCATAAATGTTGATTACAAGCTACTATTATAAGCATGTTTTCTTCTGTAGGAAAAACATTCATTAAGGAATGAATTCGTTTTTATATTATTATTGTATTTTTTAGCTTTTCCTAAGTTATGAACCAGTAGGACAATGAATCTAAAATCAAGTTATAATTTATATTATTTCTGATAATCTAATTATAATAAAATTAAAGTATTACTACTATTTAAAATCACTATTACCTTATCCTAATTGCCACATTAATTAATTTTCAGCAAGGGAATGTAATAAGTGGTTTTTGAATTTTTTATACATATCAAAGAAACAAATGTACTGAACTCCTTCTGTAAACTTATATATTTACTCTAAATTTAATATATCAAACCCAACAAAATCAGAAAGGGGCAAAACTGTAATTTAAACTGAAGGTTTAATATTTCAGAGTGGCTCTGGATCTTAAAATTTATTAGCCAATTAAAGTATCAAAAAAGTACCCTATAGAGTTCTTCCCATCAAGGCTATAAATTAACCCTTGGAGAACAATATAAAGTTTCAAGGGTAGAGTCATTTAATTCATAAGCTTAAAGGACTGAAATCTTAAAGGAATAAATTAGCCAGACTTTTTTTTTGCATTTAGTACAGCCGTATCTTAAATTAGTTTTTCTCAGGATTAGGATGTATTATTTATGACCACGTCCAGTCCCATTATTTGTTAAGACAAAAGCAAGTAAGTCCTAGTTAGTCAAAGTAAATCAAGAAAATTAACCCAGCAGGCAGAGGACTCACATGCTATTTACCTTTATGTAGTAAATATTTCCCACATTGCTTCACCCAGAAATCTCACCCAGTCTATTAAGAGGCAGTCCTAACAACAATGTCTGGTTGACTTTCCATGCCTCCACTTATAAGAAATAGCTGAAACTTTTTAAGTGCTTACATGTGCTAGTGCTTTAAATACATTATCTTCAATTCTCAAAATAACCCTTCAAAGTACATATTATTATCCCATTTTCTAGATTAATAAAATGAGGTTCAATACACACAGCTTATGAAACACAGAGCCAGATAGATTCAAGCCTATCTGTTCTTTCCTCTTGCTGTGTCTCACTGAGCACATAACTATTAATAAATCAACTCATATTCTGCTTAAAAGGATTGGGAAAGTGCCTCACAATATTGGCATTTCTCCAAAAACAAGAGGAAATATATCTACTATAATTGTCTTTTTACGTTTTCAATTGTTTTATTTTTCAAACTAGAGAACAGAATAAACTAAAAAGTTAAAATATTGTGTTCTCAAATCTGCTACCCAAATTTTTTTCATAACAATGAGAAATATATATGCTTTTTAAAAAGTGATTTCTTACAAGTGGAGACATGGAAACTCAAGGTTAAAAGACCAAACAGCAGATTATTAACTTGAGACATTTAAGAAACAAAATCACTCTGGTAATATTTCTGCTAATATGCAAAATTCATAGCTTCATATTCTGACAGTAAAGAGAGGCACAGACAAAGATCATGTTTTTTACATGAAATGGAAAGATCTGTCTGATACGAAATTACAACACAAAAAGGGTATTAATTGTCTTACTGTTGTGTAATGTTTATGGCAGGCATTTCAATGACAGCACTGCTTTTCAGAAAGCTGTAAGAACATGAAAGATTATAGATAGACTTCACTGTTACCCTGCAGAATGTGCCCAGTTCTTCAAGTAATCAACACTCTTTTATGTGGCTACCATGCAGGGCATTTCATTTTATCATTGAACAAATTTTACTTTTATTATGTGCCAAGTATTTTACTAAGCACTCAGCAGTAGGCAAGATGGGTAAGGTCTCTGCCATCATCTCATGATGCTTATAATGAGCAGGGAAGCAGATACTAAGTGGTTACCTGTGAGGAATGCTGCAGAACATAAGACGCATTACGTGGTATCAGGAAATGTCAGGTTCTATCTGATATATGATAAGAGATATTATCTTTACTATTGCATAATGCATATTATCTTTAGGTGTTTATAAGATGGGAACTTAACTAACAGTGGGCAAGTGGGGAGCTTAGGTGGTCAAGGAAGGCTTCCTAAGGACATGATATTTTTAAGAAACAAGTAAAAGTTAGCTGGGGAAGGGGAGACTCATGACAGAGAGGACAAGGACAGCATATTCAATGCAAAGGGAAGAACTAGAGTGTCTTACTCAGCTCAGGCTGCCATAACAAAATACTGTAGGCTGGGTGGCTTAAACACTTAAACAACAGAAGTTTATTTCTCATGGTTCTGGAGGCTGAAAGTCCAAACTCAAAGTGCCAGCACGGTTGGGTTCTGGTGAGGGCCCTCCTCCTGGTTTGTGGACAGGTGACCTCTTGATGTAGCCTCACGTGGCGGAAAGAGATTCAACTCCTCTCTCTTTCTCTTATAAGGACACTAATTCCATCATGCAGATGCAACCCTCATAACTTCATCTAAACTAATTATCTCACAAAGGCCCCACCTCCCAAAAGGATCACATTGAGGATTAGGACTTCAATGTATGAATTTTGGAGACATACTAACATTCAGACCATAACATAGCACAAAGGCCTGAGCTGAGAAAAAGCACGGTGCCTTTTTGAAATACAGAGGACTGGGGAAGAGTCCCTTGAAACAAGGATAGAGAGGCAGGCAGAATGGATTAGATGTGAACTTGATCTTACAAGCAGTGCAAAGCCACGGAAGGTGCTCAGCATGAGTAACATAATCAGATTTGTGTTATAGATTATTTGGAAAGAAAGCAATTATCAAAGGAAATGTCAGTTTCTATCTGATACATGATAAGAGAACGTTGTACTCAGTGAGAGATAATTGTGAGATATTTGGGTCCCAGAGCATTGACTCTCAAAAAGAGAAATAGCAAAATAAATTTCCACTTAAGATGAAAGTGTCTTTGGCATTCAAAACTTAGTCTTTATGATTGTTAACAATCCTAGGTGGTTCTTATCATGTGGTCAGAGCTTGCTAAGGACTGACGTTCCTCAAATGGGTCACAGTGAATGACTTTTCCTATATGTCCTAGTCAATCCCAAATAGGGTGGGAAATATTATCAGCTAATTCATGGAGTTGATTTCTATTCCTACTTTTCCATGAAGGATTATCACAATTATTCAATTAAAATTCCATAATCATAAATACATGCAATAATTTGTTTACACTAGGTGAAGCTTAAAAATACTTAAATAATTTTAAACTGTTAGCATTTACTACTAGTAACACTAGTTAATCCAAAACACATTGACCTAGTAAACCTTTGCAGCTGTGCACAATAGCTATCACTCAAGAACAATGTAATATATTATACAACTAGAGTAAAATTCTACAGGCTTTATTTTCAAAGGACTCTTACTATTAAGTCTTAATGATCTGAATCTCATTGAAAGTAATAGAAATTGAAATGCAAGAATACAGCGGGAGTTCTGCTTCTGGTATGACTGAGTATACGCCTACTGAAACCTACCCTCCTGCATGTAACAACTGTAAACTTTAAATAAAACAGAAACAAAAATACTTGAACCTTCTAGGGGTGAGTAAAAGCATTCAACTTTTTACAAGGGGTCCAAAATGGAAGAATGGACCTATATGGAGTGAGTTTCCCATTTTTTGAGGATTATTTATTTAGGCTGTGAACCTGAGGTTGGGTAGCAGTCAAGGCACCATGCAGGGTGGTTAGAGTCACTAGAAACACACAGTCTTTCTGGACACAAGAACCTTAGCATAGGGTTCCAGGAAACCATAGCCATTAGAGAGAAAGAGGGAACTCTTAGAGAGGGGAAATCCGGGCAAGCTCGAAATTCTGTACATAAACTATGCCCAAATTTCTGACTGACCTCTGAGCTCCACATGCATGGGATATGGACTGAAAACAGCCCAGTTAAGAAAAAACAGAACTGAAATGGGGCTTTCACAGGTGCCTGAGAGTCAGAATTTGCAGTTTGAGTCCAATCAAGTTGATTACCTGCTAAAACAAAAACATCAACATTATTCAGAAGAATGTAACACTCAGAAGAATCTACGGTCTCCACAACAAAACATACACAATGTCCGGAATACAAGGAAAAAGTATTCAATATCTGAAAAACTAGAGAAATATGATACATTTACAAGACAAAAAACAATTAAAGAAGCCAAACACAGATGACTATATTTCACAGATAAAACTTTAAAGCAGCTATTATAGTTATATGAGGTAAAGGAAGACACTCTTGTAATGAATGAAAAGATAGATAATATCAGCAAAGAAACAGAAACTATGAGACAGAATAAAATGAAAATTGTATAAGTGAAAAATATAATAAATTAAAAATGTGTTAGAAGGGCTTAACAGCAGGATGGTGATGAAGAACATGACAGTGAATTTGAAAATAATACAAGCCATCTGATCTGAAGAATAGAAAAGAAAATTATTGAAAAGAAAAATGAACAGAGTCTCAAGGCCTCAGATCTAAAGGTCTAACATATGTATATTTGGAATCTCTGAAAGACAGAAAAGAAAGAATAGAGCAGAAAAAAATATTTTAAAATAAAGAAAAAGCACTCTCTAGAAAGATTCCTGTTGGCACATAGAATAAGCTTTCTCATTTTAAAAAAAAGTTTTCTTCACAAGTAACAGACAAATGTGGTAACTGTACTTCAGAGGTTAAAACACATTTAGAGAAATAATGATAAAGTAGCCTTAAGATATTATGAATTTAGATTAGAGCACAGTTGTACTCCTCTGTATAAATGGCAAATCTGAATACTATTGTGTTCCAAAAAAATTATCTTTCTTTTAAAATCTACTAAGAATCAAGACTCAAGGTAAACTTATTAAATTCATGTTGTGGTATTAAGAGTATGCTGTGATATATGTAGAAACTATATGTTTAATGCCAGCAAGCAAATTACCTCTAATACCGTCAAACATTAATTTATAAATTGGCCTCCCTGTCACCTCTCTTCTTTATGCTGGACGCTGATAGAGGCAGTGGAAGTGAAACAGACATAAGCATGACAATTAGATTCTACACAAGAAAAATGCCATATAAAAATTCTTGTAAGATGAGTCCAGGAAATATATCTGACAGCTCTGAAATATTGTGTTCTTGTTTATACACAATGTAACAGAACAGCCTTTGTATTATTTTTAACCGTTCCTACTTAAAATAATCTATACTTCAAAGGAGAGTAAACAGTGCATAAGCTTAGGTTGCTCTTTACCTCATAACTTGGTTCTTGTATAATAGATATTCTTAGGACCAGACAAGTCAATCTCTAAATAAACATTAACTTCCTCTGTGTTTCCAAATGTAGAAATAAAGATGAACATACAACATGAGGAGTTTCTAACAAAACAATTGTTAAAAATCAAATCGTGTTTAAGGCCATATACGGTAAGGCTAAAAATAATATTTAATCGCTTGAAATCATACCCATAACAATTGCTAATTCTGCACAGTTAATTGAAATGAAGAACAAAGGAAATTTCAGAATAATCTGAACAAAAAAGCTTTGAAAAGTTGGAGGACGGTTTGTCATATTGAACAGAATTTTTAGATTAACTGTCATCAGTAATGAAGCCACTCAAAAATTGCCAAGTTCTGTTTGGTTCTTTCTTCTTAGCTATTCTCATGAAAGTGAAGCTCTACTACAGGTCTTCCCTGCCTTTTGCCATAATACATTTTTCAAAAGCATGAAGGAGATGGCATTTTCTAATCTGAGAATTTAGTATGAAATACATCAACAGTGTCATCAAAGCAAGTATGCAATAATTACAAATTACTGTAGTCATTTAAAATAGAAAATAAAGATTTTAATTTATATAAAGCATGCATAAACAATTTACTTGATTTCATGAAGGGCTGTCAATATATCTAGTACACACATAATACAAATCAATTCAACTGAAAAAGTTTTACATTAATATTCTTGTTAAAATTTATTTTCTTGAAATAGAGATAGGGTTTTGTTATGTTGCCCAGGCTGGCCTCAAACTCCTGGCCTCAAGCACTCACCAACAGAGGCCTCCCAAAGTGCTGAGATTACAGACATGAGCCACTGCCTGGCCTAATATTCTAATTATAATAATATGTTAACAATTATTTTAATAATGTTTCCTTTAATATGCAAAAGAACTTTTAAGGAAAGATTTGTGTTGTTCAGCTTTCTTAAAAGTGGTATACAAATAGTTTTTAACTGATGTCCCTTTTTGTTGGTAAATTTTGTACAAACAGCTCCTGTTTAGCTGTCCAAGGCAGGAAGCTGACTGAATTTGGGATGGAAGCCCTGGGTATTAATTAGGACAATGGTTTTCCTAGAGTATCTATTGAGATCATATCTCTAGCCATTTAACATGACTAGCCATAGGAATTTTTAAAAGAAAGAACTGACTTTTATTTTATTATTTAATTTTATTTTATTGGAGACAGGGTCTTGCTCTGTCACCCAGGCTGGGGTGCAGTGGCGCAATCATGGTTCACTGCAGCCTCGACCTCCCAGGCTCAACTAATCCTCCCATCTCAGCATCCCAAGTAGCTGGGACTACAGGTGCACATCACCACACCTGGCTAATTTTTGTATTTTTTGTAGAGGTTTTGCTCTGTTGCCCAGGCTGGTCTCAAACTCCTGGGCTCAAGCTGTCCATCCACCTCAGCCTCCCAAAGTGCTGGGATTACAGACAAGAGCCACCATGCCCAGCCTGACGTTTCTTTTTCTCACTCTCTCTTAGCTCCATAGTTTAATCACACTCAAGTGAAATTACATATAATGGTAAACTTTCCTGGGAGTTTACCATGTGCTAGGCAGTGCTCTGTGTCCTGGATATGCATCATCTCATTTAATCGCCACAATAACCCTACCAGGTGAATCCCATTATCATCCCTATTTTATGGATGACAAAATTGAGGCTTACAAAGGTTTAGGAATTTACTTGAGGTTAAGCTATTAAGTAACAGAGCTGAAATTTAAACTTGGGTATGTTTCACTCTGCATTGCAAGCTTTTATCCACGGGATTACTCTTCTTCTGTCCAAATGAAGGACACCTGGAAATAATGAGAACGAGCAAACCTCTTCCATCCTCTCTACCAAGGAGTTTTCACACACTTCATCAGTGGACTCTGAGATCTGCATGTTTATGGGAAAGTGATAAAGCCTGAAATGAAGGTAACAGCCTGGGCTGTTTAAAAGGAAATTCAAAACAGAATTATTGAGAAAGGAAGACACGGTGTCTTACTGTACAGATATGGTAGGGTTAGCATGCCCAAAAACCATCCAGTAAAAAGTGAGTGTAGCAAGATGATTTAAACAATAATCAAGACTAAGACACTTTTGCCTGTTCAATAGAATATACTATTTTGATTGATTCAACCATTTCTTCTCATATGAAACATATTAGTTAATGGCTTCCATCAATTACAGTGTATAACATTAAGAAATGAGCAAAAATAAATTCCATATGTCATTTCTTACACTTTAGCAGCTACATTTTTTTCACAACTTCTTGACACTAACAGATGAGAAAGAAGGCCACTTTTGCTCAAGAACCAAAACAGAGTACTGAGTCCATCGTCAAGAGATATCAGACATTGAAAAAGATAGCAGCACAGGTTTCCAGAACTCTTCTTTGAGTAGGAAAGACTTGGGGAAAAAAATGGGCCAATAGGTAGCAGACATCAACTCCTACAGGACATTGAGGAAAGAAGTGAGCGAAAAAGACCCTCACATACTTAGTTTTTAAATATTACAAACTATGAAAGAGTCGTATTATGTGCTAAGAGAATAAGTAAGTATAGAGGTAGAGGTAAAAGATAAAGGAGAAATGGAGTGATTGAGAATCCATGTCAGAGAAGATGGAATAGGGGATTGTTGGATGGATGGATAGATGGATGGGAGAATATGAATGGGTGAGTTTGATGTGGACAAAGAAAAATCATCTAGTCCCTAGGGATTGGATAGTGCATTTACAGAAAGCCTCATGGTGGCAGGCAAAAACACAAGCAAGTTTTCAGCTACTAGCCTCTACTGAGTAGGAAGCATAGTTACCTGTAAAGAGTAAAGGCAGCAGGCTATGGTGCTTAAAGCGAATGAGGTTGTGGAAGAGATGCTTAGATGAATACAACAAAATTACTCAACAGAATTGAGGGCCTGGCTGATATTAAAATACCATACTTAAATTCTACTCTAAGTAGACTCTATTATCACTTGGAATTACTCCAGCAGTCCCCTGTAGTCTGAGTGTTTCAGAGAGTGTGTGGGGCAGGGGGAGATATAGTTGGAGAGATCTACTGTTGGTAATATGTATACATGTATGGAAGAGGAAGGGTTAGTTTGGTGCATAGAAGAATTACAACCGAACAGAGAAGGAACTAAAGCAAGGAGGGGGGTGATATACAAGAAGAGAAAAGAAAGAGCAAGTCATCTAGAAAAAAATCTAGATTAAAAAATAAATGCAAACCAAATCAAAGGCTGAGAAAGCGGAAAGGCTGGCAAGCTGTGATCAGAGAGTGAGATGAGACATAAGAGGTAGAGTTGTTCTAAGTGATTCCAGATTACAGGGGATGGCTGTAGGATAGGGTTCCTGGAGAGGAAGTAACAATAAGGACATCAAAACTGGGTCAACTGAAGAAACATGAGACCAAATTGCCTGGATGACAAGAGTTACAATGGGGACAACAATGACTAAAACAGGCTTTCATTGTCTTCACTGCACATGGGGACTGACCAGATGGTCCATAGGAAACAGGAAGAAGAGGAGAGAGAAACAGGCAGATTCAAATAACGAGTGCCTTAATGCCTGGGACTGTGGCATGGGAGGCTGAATATCTCAGAAGCTATGCTGAGGAGCTCAGAAAATGGAGTAAGATGCCAACCATCTCTCTGGGTTGTGGTCCTTGAGGCTCAGGAATACAAGCACATAGCATTATCATCACAGAGACCTGCCCCCCAACATCATATGAGTCGCAAGACCCTCGTCTCAGCCAGCGTCCTTAGCCATTGACTCTTCTCCCATTATCCTGACACTTTCACAGCTTTAAGTATCACCTCCACATGAGTAACTTCCAAGTTTATGTCTCCAACCTTACATTCTCTCCTGTTAGTAGTTCTGAAGCTCTAAATAGCCTTCAAGATGTATTTTCCTATACTACTGGCCGTTAATTCACACTGAAATCAAAAACTCGAGAGAGCCAGCATCTTTCCCCCAAAACTCTCACCTCCAGCTTTTCCTATTCTTCCCACTAATCCAGATGGAAAACATGGTGTTATTTTTTACTCCTTCCACCAGTTTCTCACTCACATCTATACAAGTTGTACCAATTATTCCTTTGTGATACCTCTAAGGCCATCCTTCCTCTTACGCTTCACTACCATTCCCCTAATTCAGGCCCATGTAGCTGAATATGTGTTATTACAAGAGACTCAGAACTCTCCTACCTGGTTTCCCTCCTTACTTCTTTCTATTCTTTCTACTAATTTAAGATGACTCTTCCTAAAACGTTACTTTTCACATGTCAATCTCTATTCACAAACCTCCCATTATCTCCCATGTATTTCCATAATAATAAAGGCCAAGCTCTGCGCAAACACTGATATCTCCCATGTCTCCAAAACAGCCTCCCATTACTTCACTACAGGAACCAGACACACCGTGATTATTCCAATTCCTCCTATCCCCATGGATTACATAGATTTTCAATTAATTCATACTTCCGATTATATTTACCTGATCTACTTTCACTACAAAACACATATTTTGATTAAATGAAGATTTTAATTCAGTAAGATTAAAATAACCTGGCATTTGTAAAAATGATTTCGCATAATTTCCCTAATGGGCTATGAAAATATAAATTACTTCCACAGTTGCTCACTTTTCATTTATAATTTAAAAGGTGAGGGGACCATTAATAGACATCTGGAGTTTAGTTGTTACTAAAATCGATTTATTGTAAGATTTCAATCCTCAGAGAAGGGAAATCTTACTGATCACAACTTTCTGAAGTCCATCCTAAGTGGTTCTCTTTTGGAGATGATCATACCTAGAAATGCATTACACATTCCTACATACACACAAAATGTGCAGCTACAGTGGAATGCATCCATGACAGGTTGTAAATAAAAATGTACATAACAGAGAATCCCCGATCTACTGGATAGATCTACTTTCCCACCTATAAAGCTCTACAAACCACTTTCTACCTCAACATACCAGTTATCTCCAATCCTTACATCCATGTGGTGTTATGAGCTTTTTTTTTTAAATGAACTTCTGGGAATATACAGGAAGAGATTATAGAAAGGCAAGGAGTGAGGGGAAGACAGAGCCTTTGGGAATGCCTCTACCACACTGAGTGTGGGGTGGCACAAGAGAAAAAAGGAAAAAGAGGAATTGGCAAGCGAGAGGCAGAATGTAAGGAGACAATGGGCAGTGAAAAAGATGCATGCAAGAAAGAGGAAGTGGTCAGCAGTCCAAAATGCTTCAGAGAGCATGAGAGAGGTTATGACTAAGAAAAGCCCATTGGATTTGAAAGAAACAGATACACGCCTCTTGAGAGGCAGAATTTAGTACAGTGATGGGAGAAGGTCAGAACACATGGAGAAGGGGTGATCAGCAAGTGGGAGTCAGGCACATGTCATTCATTCACAAGGACTGACGGAGAAGGGAAGGAGATGGAGAACACACACAATAAGCTCTGCTAGCAAGCACCTTGCCCGTTTTGCTTGTTGCTGTCCCCAGCACCAAGAACAGTTCCTGGCATGTAATAGATATTCAATAAGTATTTGTTGGTTAGATGTTGTTGAATTCAATCAATGTTATTGAATTAATGAATGTTGTTGTTTGGATAAATAAATGAATTGATGAATGAACATAGTACTTGTATTTGAGGGAGTATGAAAGAATACTCTTCATGTTACCACATGTAATTCAGGTCTCAATGCTGGAGTTATACTTAGTACAGACTAAGATCTGGTTATAAGATAAAAGCTGCAAATGCAGCTCACAACATCAGACTTAGTGTAGGGTGGAGGATGGAGCTCTTGTCTAGAGGTTGAAGTTAATCTTTTTGACAGTTATCTGAGCGAAAATGGAATCTTTCAGGCCAAACATGAGAACTGGAGGAAAATCTCTGGGTGTCTGCAGAGTGGAATTCCCTCTCTGTCTTGACCAAGAAGGCAGCAAGAGATTGAAAGGAACTCCTGAGGGGTGGATTGTTAAGAAGAGGCTGTCCACCTGAGACAGGCAGGGACTGAGTTATTAAGAAGTCCAGACGAGTGCCTACAATGTTGTAAAAACCTTTTGCAGCTAGAGGTTATCTATCTCAGTTTGCTAATGGTTCTTGTCCTCTGCATTAATTCCCTCAGTTCTGCCTCACTCATAAGTCTTTGGAAAGGTCTCGTCAGGGCATGAGAATATAAGAGTTCAGCCAACACTCGGAGAGGGGAGGGTGGCCAGCACCATAGTGCCAGCAACAGCAGCAACTAGAGTGGTAGGACCCCAAACATTGGGGATGTGGAGTAACCACTAAGACAACTTGAAGTTAAAGGGTTTGTTTTTATCAGATGACATGGTATTATCTTACAGGAAATCTAGGCAAGATTTTGTTTTTCCTGTATTTCCTTTTGTTTTTGTTTGATTTTGACAAAGGCAACTTGAGCAGATATAAGCTGTAAAAGAGGAAAACTTGTAGATGGCAACAGAAAGAAGGTACAGTTACAAGGAATGTATGTAATGTCATTAAGCAAAGCCATGGAACACAGGAGGTGTCATGAGATTCAAAGGCAAGATGGGGGAGTTGGTTTTTGCAAAGTGGTATAAAGAAAGATTGAGAGAGTAGAAAGAAGGAAGACGCTTCTTTGAATCTCATATGGAAATTAGGGGGTAAGTCAGCTGTGGGGCGTATGGAACACAGAAAGTTCACATAGCTGCCTTGGAGAGGCCACCAGAGAGCCCAGTGACTAAGAGGCTTTTGCAAATCTTGAGGGGCTAGATCGCTGGAATTTCCAGAAATTCTAGTCAGCACAATTTAATGCTGTCTGCAGCAATACTTGGCAACCTGGAAAGGTTTGTTGCAATTGTTGGAGGTGCAGTCCTACATGTAAGCCAAGCTGAGCTCACCATAATGGATCTACCACATATGGAGTTGTAACAATGGGATAAACTCACACCTCATAGAAGAATCATCTCACGATGATAGAAACAACTCTAAAGACAGGCTTTCATCAAAAAAATCATAATTAATCCACCCTGCTTATTTTCCTAACAATGGAGCCAAGTTGTACTATTCATACCAAGATCTTCAGGGAGTTCCAGGTGGAAGGAATATTGGAAGTCAACTTGTCCAACCTGTCACCTATTATGACTTTCATTTTTAGAAATCCATGGAAGAAACTATCAGTGGGCACTGGCATACCCGGGCTCCTCTACATTTCTCAGCCTCCTTTGCAGTACATCTGACGCTGCATGGCTGGGCTCTGGCTAATGTGACATTGGCGGAAGTTGTGTAAGTCACTCTCAGGCCTGGCTCTCTCAGACGGAGGAGAAACAGCCAAGTTGCTTCACATCAGACTCTGCTTGAGAGAGAAATATACTTTGACAGTGTTAGTCACTAATATTTGTGGATTTGTCCATTTCATCAGCAAGCATTAATTCATATCAAGCCACTTTTTAATAATCTAGCAACTCAGAGCTGGCAATCACTCTAAAGAAAGGGATGGAGATTATTATCACCCATATACCCAAAAGATTAAAATGGTGGAAGCAGTCATGAAACCCACTTTTACTTTGCAGTAGCACCTCAATTATCTAAAGGTTATTATTTGAGACATAATTTGCAAAGCTAAAGCCTGAACTCCCTAACTGAGAACCAGAAAGTAAGCAGCAAACATCTTAAAACAACCCAGGCTGAGAGCAAAATTAAGCTTTAGAGCTTCATGCCCTGGTAAGCTCTTCAGGCTAGATATATTTACTCAAGTTATTTCAGAGTAAATAAATCAGTCTTGGAACTTTGATTATCTCCCATCAGATAAGAAATAGGAAATTGGCCAGGCAAGGTGGCTTATGCCTGTAATCCCAGCACTTTGGGAGGCTGAGGCGGGAGTATCATTTGAGCCCAGGAGTTCGAGACCAGCCTGGGGAACACAGCTGGACCTCGTCCCTACACATTATTTAAAAATTAGCTAGCCATGTTGGCGCATGCCTGTGCTTGCAGCTACTTGGGAGACTGAGGTGGGAGAATCACTTTACCCTGGGAGGTCCAGGCTTCAGTGAGCCATGATTGTGCCACTGTACTCCATTTTGGGCCACAAAGCAAGACCTTGTCTCAAAAAAATAAAAAAGAAACAAATAGGAAATCGGAAGCAAAAAAAAAAGGAATGGCCTGGAAGGGGGCAAAACATGCCATTCTGATAGTGAAGGAGAGATCAGGAAAACTACAAGAGGCAAAACACCCAAATCAAAAAGCAGTGTACAGTGCCCCATTTTATAAAGGATAATTGAGTCCCACTGCCCCTCAGAGTCCTGAAAGCATCATGGAAGAAGCTTAGCTCACACCTGATGCTAACTAATAAAGATGACTTCAGTCTTCATCCAACCTTTGTAAGCTTCGAAGGAAGGTAGGAAAACATGTAAGAAGTCTCTGGAAAAGGTAACTCAAAACAGTGTCAGTGTATAAAGATATACACTTGGTCATTTTAAAAACTCACTTACGAGAACTACCTTATTCCCTAGGTTGCCTCATAAAGCTGTTAAAAAAATATATGAGACATTGCTGGGCGTGGTGGCTCACCCCTGTAATCCCAGCACTTTGGGAAGTTGAGGAGGGCAGATCACCTGAGGTCAGGAGTTCGAGACCAGCCTGGCAAACATGGTGAAACCCCATCTCCACTAAAAAAATACAGAAATTAGCCAGGTATGGTGGCAGGCAGGAGAATTGCTTGAGTCTGGGAAAAGGAGGTTGCAGTGAGCCGAGATTGAGCCACTGCACTCCAGCCTGGGCAACAGAGTGACACTCTGTTTGACAAAAATATATATATGTGTGTGTGTGTGTCTGTGTGTGTGTGTGTGTGTGTGTGTGTGTGTATACATGTATTTATATGATATGATGTGAGACATTGTCAGTTGGAAGAGGTCTGATTTAGAATGGGCAGTTCCTCCTGAACCTATTTAGGTGCATACATCCAGCAGGAAAGAAATCAGGCTTCAATAAGATAAATCAAGATCTAAAAGTCAAGTTGAAAGGACCTTAGAGATCATGTAGCCAAGACCCTGGCAAAAAAAAGTTAGGTGACTAGAGGGCATCATTCATCTCACTGTAGAGGGGGCACTACCGCCAGTCTTGTATTTGAGAGCCGGAATATTATCCTCCACATCACAATTTCCTAGGCCAACTCACAACCCTCTCCATCCCTTCCCAAGCCTTCAGGTTGGCCCACAGGCCTGATGCACTCACCTGCAGAAAGCAGTGTCCAACCGGGGCATGCTCTGCAATGGTGGCATTGTACACCTGCCTCCAGAAGATGGGCTCATTGTCATTCACATCATCTACGGTGATGCTCACCAGGCAGGTGGCAGAGAGTGGGGGCTCTCCGAGGTCCTGGGCCACCACTTTCAGCTCCACCGCCTCCTGGACCTCTCGGTCTAGAGTCCGGATAGTGCTGATCGCACCGCTTTCGGAATCAATGGCAAAAGATGGTCCACACTCTGCGGTGTGGACCATCTTTGATTGCAGGGAGCCGAGATTGCAGGGAGCCGAGAGTTGGACTACAGTGTAGCGCAGCCAGGCGTGATCACTGCCTGCCTCGTCGGCATCGGAGGCGCTGACCCACATGACTACAGTGCCAGGGGCCGCGGCCTCGGACACTGAGGCCTTGTAATGCTGTTGGCTGAAGAGAGGTGGTTGGTCATTGAGGTCAGCGACCCGGAGTAGCAGCGTCTCCTCCGTGCTCAGCGGCGGGGACCCCGCGTCCGTGGCCACCAGTAGTAACTCATACAGATCGCGGCTCTCTCTGTCCAGGGGCCCCTCCACGCAAAGGAAAAATACCCCTGGGGGGCCGCCGGGTAGCAACGCGAAGTCTCCCTCTCCGCCTTCCAAGGACAGAGAGATGCTCCCGTCTCCAAGACCCACACCAAGCTCCCCTGTGGCCTCATCTTCCTTCTCCCAGTCACCGTCCGCGTCAGACACCGAGACGCGAGCCACGTAGTCGCCCGGTCGGGCGCCTTCAGAGACACGGGCGACGCCTCCCTCTGTGAGAAAGAGCACGTGAATTGCTGGCCGGTTGTCATTCACGTCCAGCACGGCGATGGACACGCGCACCGTGGCAACCTCAGGCTCGGCGCCTCCATCGCGGGCCTCCACCACCAACTGGTGCCAGGCCTGTGCCTCGCGGTCCAGAGGTCTCCACACTCGCACCACGCCGCTCAGCTCCTCCACCGCGAAGTAGGCCGCGTCGCCCAGTGCCCCGCCGCCGCTACCCGCCCCAGGCACTTGCCGGGCGCGGACGCTGTAGCGCACGAAGCCATTGGGCCCCAGGTCGCGGTCGGTGGCGCGCACGCGACAGACCTCGGCGCCCGGCTGGGCGTCCTCGCGCACCGCGGCGCGGTACTCGTCCTGCTCAAAGACCGGCGGGTTGTCGTTCTCATCCAGCACGCGCAGCTCCACGCTCAGGAGGCCGGTGCGCCGGGGTCGGCCGCCGTCCCATGCCTCGATCTGCAGCCGGTGCGCCGCCGCCTCCTCTCGGTCCAAGCGCCGCAGCAGCACCAGATCTAGAGGCTCCAGGGGTGACGAGGAGCCTGGCAAAAGCGGTGACGGTAGTGGCCCCGGAGTCCGGTAGCGCAACTGGAAGAACGGGCCTGCGGGGTCCTTGGGCAGGTCGGACGGTTGCACCAGGGTGTAGCCCTGAGTGCTGAACAGTCCGGCGTCCGGATCGTGGGCAACTGGCAGGCGGAAGGCGGTCCCTGGCGGGCTGAGCTCGGAGACGTCGAGTTGCAGGGAGTCGAGGGGAAAGCGGGGCGAGTGGTCATTCACGTCGTTGACGCGAATCTCCACCTGCACCACAGCGCCCAGCAGCGTGGCGGCGACGAAGCTGTAGTGGTCCCGCCGCTCGCGGTCCAGGCGCCGCGCAGTGCGGATGATGCCGGTGTCCGGGTGCACGTGGAAGTCGTCCAGCAGCGGGGAGTCATCGGAGTCCTCCGACAGAAAGAAGCCGCTCCCCTCCTGCTGCTGCGCGGCCGGCAGCCCGGCGCGGATGTCACCTACCAGCGTGTCCGGGGGAAGCCCCTCATCTACGGAAAGGGTGAGGTTGAACAACTGGGCAGAGGAGCCCGAGGCCGCCCACAGCCACACGTGCACCAAGAGCCAGAGCAGGGAGCGCTGCGTCCTGGCGCCGCTGCTGCCTGACCGCCCATGGGGTGTATCTCTCCTCCCGGGGAGCAGAAGGAGCTTCCCGACCGGAGCCCGCCGCTGCTGACGCCCTTCGCCCATCTTCCGCCCACAAGGGCTCATTTCTCCTCCAGCTCCTTGGGAAGGCTCTCGGGTAACTGCCAGCTTGTGGCAGGATCGCAGAAAAATCCAGGAGCCTCTTCAGTGTCTGAGCCAGAGAAGAAAAGACTTTGTTTGGCAAACAAACCGACGGCCCAGGAATTCCCGAGGTTACATCTGCAACTGGTGAAAGCGTCCTCTGCCTGCAGCTCACGCAGACAGGGAAGTAAGCTCTAGCTGCCTCTGCCGCGGCAGCCACCTCTTCTGCCCCTGGATTTCTTTAAACGAATCTCATCTCTTTTTCTCTCTCCTTTTATTCCCTTTACATCTGTTCCTTGTTCTACTCGGCTGGTTGTTCCCCCCTGGTAAAGTCAGGTGCATTATTTCTTTTGCCAAAAAGGAGGAGATTATATGAAGCGCGCACACACAAGGAGAGGATGGGGATCTGGCCGGAGTAGGGGGTGGAGTAAGGGCGTGGAGGCAGGGAGTCAGGGCGCTGGGGAGGAGGGAGAGAGGGAGGGGGGAAGGGAGGTCTGCGGCCCTGTCCGCTGCTCCGGGGGCGGGGCGGTGGTTCCCCACTGTGTCTCCGGGCGCCAGGGACCGCGCGACTCCTGCTCCGACCCAGCCTCCGCCGCCTGCCTTCCCCTCCCTGCCGTGTGATGCGGCGCACACGAGGGCAAACTCCAACCTGCGAGCCGCGCTCTGCAGCAGGGCGGAAGAGGAGCAAATGCAAAAGCACTGGGAGACGTGCACCGCGGGGCGGGTGGGGGACGCGCAGGCGGGGCGTCTGCCTGGGCTTGGCCAAGTGCCAAGTGATGATGGGTGCGGGGAGGTGAGAGGAGCGGCCTCTCCGCGGCCTCCCCCTCCATCCGCTTGACCGTCCCTCTGCAGGCCTGACTCTTGGCTCGCGCTGAGCCAAGAGGGTAGAGGTTATCATCACTTTGGGGTGCCAAACTTGTGTTCTCCATTTGGCGAGAGGGACTCCCGTCCGCAGCGGAAGGACAGATGGAGTCAAAGGCCGATGCATAGCTGGGGCCAGGATGGCTTTAAAGGGGAGAAGGCGGAACTTGGAAAAGCCTTCCAGAAAACCCGAGAAATCTGTGGCACACATGGTGCAAACCACACTTTATTATGCGTGCTACTACCCAGCGACGTGTGAGCCTCTTGTCACTCCCCTCTGCCACCAGGAATGACGACAATATATCCGCCCTGAGAACCCTTTTTCTACATTCAGCGCCATCATAACACTTCCAGGATGTCTGACGATGCTGACTGATGAGCAGAAAGCCCTGGTGGCTGACACCCCGCAAGCCCTCAGCGCTCCCCCACCACCCCTAGGCAAGGAAGTGTGCAAGCGGGATAACTCTACGGATACCACTTTCAAAACTAGCTTCTGTCTGAGCCGAACGCAAATGCCAATAAATAGCCATAGTCGCAGATTTCCCTTCAATTAACTATAATAATCGGTAGAAACTGATCAATGGCCTCTAATAAAGTACGCCTGAGAAAAGACTCTCTGGACTCTTAAAAATGGCTGACCATATTTAGCAAGTGGTTTCTGCAATTTTGCATTTGGGCCTGAGAGAAGAATTAATTTCCTAGATACCGTTTCTCTCCTTTAGGGAGGACCAAAAGCCCTGCATAGTGGTTTCTTGCAGCAACAACAAAATGCCTTTTTAAATGTGCAACGGAGGTGTATGTAATTGCTAATCCACAGCCACACCGTTATCTCTACCTGTGACCAAATAACAATAAAATAATTGACTTTGTAGCATATATGTTACCGAAAATGGGGACATTATTAAAATAAATTCAGCTTTCTTTCCCCCAATGAACTCTCTTTAACCATTAAAGAGATTTGTTATGAGTCTTTAGAGTCTTTTTATCTTCAGTCTCTGCATTTGCACCCTAACTAGTCCCTCCCCTCCCACTCTTGCCCCTTTATAAGTAATTCTTTTCTGTTTTTGCTATTGTTGTTGTTGTTGCTGTTTTGTTTTCTGAGTCAGGATCTCACTCTGTCACCCAGGCTGGAGTGCGGTGGTGCAATCATGGCGCACTGCAACCTCATGGACTCAAGTGATTCCATCACCTCAGCTTCCAGAGTAGCTGGGACTATGGGTGCCCACCACTATACCTGGCAAATTTTATATTATTTTATTAATTTATTTGTTTATTTTTTTTACTTTTGTAGAGATGAGGTCTCACTATATTGCCCAGGCTCGTCTCGAACTCCTGGGGCCAGTCTTCCTGCCTAGGCCTCCCAAAGTGCTGGGATTACAGGCTTGAGCCACCGCAACCAGCCTATAAGTAATTCTTGAACAAGCATCTGGATTAATGTTTTTAAAGCTGTCTCAAATCATATTACCTCCTGCTTAGAACCTGAAATGATTCCATTATACTTAGATTATAATTCAGACTCCTTCAATCAAGCTCCTTTTAGTAGTACAGGATCCTATCCATCTTTCTGACCTTGCCTCATACCACCACTCTGGACTCAGCCATCTGCCTTCTTTTTGATCTTGTACCTTTGAATTGTTAGAACTTTCCATGCCTGGGAGTTCTTTTTTCTGCTTTGGAAAGAGCTAGCTCTTTCTCATTCAGGTCTCAACTCCAATGCCCTCTGTTAAGAAAGATCTTCCCTAATTACCCTATTTCAGATAGCCTTTCTACTATAAATGCTATATCCTTTCAGTATATTTCATTCACAACACCTATCAGCATCTGAAATCAACTTGCTTTTTTCATTTGTTTATTAGATTATTACAACCTCAAAACCTTCATTCTGCTTTATCTCAGCACCTAGAACAGTACCTAGCATGTAGTGTGTCTCTATTTACTAAGTATGTGTTGGACAGACGGTTGGTTGAACCTATGGGTAAGTGAATGCATTTGTCTGTTAAAGTAGAAGTTGGAAGCCATAACCAAGAATGAATTGGCCATGAGAATCTTCACTGTAATGAATTATGTCTTTGCAATCTTACTCATCTTAATTATTTCATAGGACTTCTTGAACTTATTTTTCAGCTTCGTCAACTTACTTTGTAAACCATTGTATTAGTCTGTTCTTGCATTGCTGTAAAGAACCTGAGACTGGGTAATTTATAAAGAAAAAATGTTTAATTGGCTCATGGTTCTGCAGGCTGTACAGGAAGCATGGTGGGATCAGTTTCTGGGGAGGCCTCAGGAAACTTACAATCATAGCAGAAAGTGAAGGGGAAGTAGGCAGGAGGAAGAAAATGAATGGGGAGGTGCTATACACTTTTAAACAAACACATCTCATGAGAACTCACTCACTCTCATGAGGACAGCATCAGGGAATGGTGCTAAAGCATTCATAAGAAACTGCCTCATGATCCAGTCACCTCCCACCAGGTCCCACCTCTAACACTGGGGATTACCATTCAACATGAGATTTGGGCAGGGACACAGATCCAAACCATATCAACCATATTGTTAACAAATATTTACTTGAGTCTAAAAATAAAGGAAAAGAAGCATCTTTTACTGCATCTTTCACTGACACATTCTTTGTAAACAGTGGTTTAGTTTAGAAACAGTGGAAAACAAATGGAAAATCAAGAACCTCAGACATCTATTTTCCTATTAGTTCTAAAGCTTTATATCTCCAGCATGTACAATTCAAGGTCTCCTGTCCATTTCACAATTACCCTTCATTGAATGTCCTGAATATCCTTAATTATAGAATTAAGAATTCAATTTTGTAAAGTAAGAGAAATAAGAGCATTTCTCAGATATGTGAAAAATAATTTTAGATAATACAGAAGCCAACAGCCTGCAAGAAATAGGTCAAGGTCTGATCCTTGTAAGCGAAGCATCATGGCGTAACTGGCCAGAGTTTTAGCTTTAAAGTTGGAAAATCCTTATTCTGCTCTATAATTTGGGGCAAGTTATTTAAATCTTAAGCCTTAGAGTTTCCTCCTTTCTAAATTGGGGATGATACATCTAATTTACAGGGATGTCATGGGCCTTAAATGAGGCAATATATGTGGATTGGTACCTAGAATGCATGTGGTAAATTGTATTTTTCTTGCCCTCTGGTGTTTGTATGATGAAATGTTTTAGGAGTGAATTATTTTGGAATTCTCAGTAATATCAAACTCCGACTTCTTAGCCCCCCAGAAGGTGTGAAGGGGGAGGATATAAAATTCCCACTATCTGGCTGGATGCAGTGGCTCATGCCTGTAATCCCAGCATTTTCAGAGGCCAAGGCAGGAGGATTGCTTGAGCCCGGGAAGTAAAAACCAGCCTAGGCAATGTGGCAAGACCTTCTCTCTACAAAAAAAAAAAAAAAAAAAAAAAATTTAAAAATAGCCAGGCACGCTGATGCATACCTGTAAGTCCCAGCTACTCAGGAGGCTGAGATGCCAGGATGGCTTGAACCCAAGACATTGAGCTGTGTCATTGCCACTGCACTCCAGCTTGGATGACAGAGCGAAAGCCCATCTCAAAAAAAAAAAAAAAAAATCCCCAGTATTGTAAACAGAAACTTGGACAAAAAGGCTCAAGGCATTTCTTCACTTTGTGTTATTCAGTTTAAGTAACACAGGAAGTCCCTCTTCAGAAACATTTTCCCTCAGACTGTAGGTAGCCCTCAGCTTTGTGATAGTTAATTTAAATAGTGTAGTTGCTAAGTGCTCAAAGCAGGGTTCAAATCACCTCACGTCAACCTTTTAGGAAAGGAGTTATAATTAGTATTCCCATCTTACAGATGAGGAAACTGAGGTTCAGGAGCATTGCAAGTCATGTGGCCAAAGTCCCACAGGTAGTAGAATTGGAACCTGAACCCAGTTTTGCTCCAGTGTCCACGGTGTTCACTGGTCATTTATTGTCTTCATGATTTTCTTTAATAAGATTGTCTTCTTCTGAATTCTTGATGAAATCAGTACAGTGATATAGTGAGTTTTGGGAAGACCTGGGAGAACTACAGAAGGAGGAACTTGTGAGCATGTTAGTGGGAGTGGTGGGGAGGCACAAGAGGATAGTCACATGTCAGTACTTGAAAATACAACCAAAAAAAAAAACCAACTCCGTACTTAGAAATGTACTTAGAAATGGTACTTAAAGGCCAGTAAGGAGAATCGGGTGACATGGAGGGTTTCTTCCCAACTTCTCACGCATGGGGATGGCCCTCTGAGGGTTAAGAAGGGTGCATGATACCAGGAAGCCCCCATACTCCCTTGACTCACATGCCATCTTTCTGAAAACGTTTGAGCCAAAGAGCGTTTGGAGCTTGTGATGGTTAAATGTGATGTGTCAAGTTGGCCCAGGCTACGGTGCCCACATTGTTTGGTGAAACACTGGTCTAGATGCTGCTAGGAAGGTTATGTCATGCTGGGAAGAACCCTAACTAATATAGAGCTTTGTGGAAGTGGAGATAATTTAGTATTTAATATTATAGCTGGTATTTAGAATCTACATATATTTTGTGTTCTTAAAGTTTTTAAAATCAGAATCCTGGACCTAATAGGGATCTTAATAAGTAATCAAGTACATCTTTCTGTCTTAGATTCTAAGCCACTCAAAAGAGATGATAGTCTTTTCCTTTTTTTAACATTAGAACCAATTCCACACATGCCTGTATGATATTCTCAACTCCACAGAATATGATCACATTTTACAGATTAAGAATCTTTGATTTGAATATCAACATATAGTTATTTGCTTTGATTTTGGGGAAGATGAAGAAAAACTGGTCGATTATTTTTATGCCAACACTTCATCATATAGTTGAAGGGAACTATAACAAGGCTTATCGTTAAGTTGGTTTTATCATACTGTATTGAATCATAGTTTCAGATCTAGTAGAAGCTGGAATATAAGAAGTGCGTATACCAAAGTTGTCCCTGCTTTTGAAGATTGTGGTATTTGTAGATCTCAGAACCCCTAGCTAAGGTAATTCCTGCCTAATTTCCCCTTTTCTGTCCTAACTTGCTTATTCTCCTTCCCAGTGCTTGGTAAGGCAGACCAACTTCTCCCCATTCCCTCCAACAGACTCAGGATGGCCGACAAAGTCCAATCAAACCTGCTCAACCATATAGGCTCTACAATTTGGCTTTTCTAATTCTGTCTTTGGCACATACCCCATTTTGCCTTTTGTAAAATCTTTTCTTTAGATGAAATAATCCCAGCTCCTCATTCCCTCGACCCTTTAATCATTTTGTTTCTGTTCTCTGAACTCTCTCCAATTTTCCTATATATTGTATCAGATGCGGAAACCAAAACCACACACCATTTTCTAACAGGATCTATGCATTGCCAAACCTGGGGAGGTGACTTACTTCTTCAATCAGAAATTGAAGCCAAGTCCAAAAGGTTAACAAGTGGATGTTGGAACAGGTGTGACACCCCCATTCCAATAAAGCAACACTTTCTGAGTTGGTAATTATTCAGTGTGGAAAGTGTAATCTACTTGCTTTCACATAAAAAATTTTAGAATATTCATGTATTTGTATAAGACGGCATGATAGATAAAGCAGGTGAAGAAAAAGATAAATAGCACTGGATCCTGCCAATATTTTTCTAAGTGCTATTGTTCTTTGTGAGAAGTTAAGGAAGCTGATCTGTTTCCTGGGACAAAGTAAAGTTCACTGAAATATATATACATAATATATGTTATAATAATTCCAGGCAAGAGAAAGCAAAGGAAATACCCAGGACTCTGCCAATCCCACAAATATTCAGTGAGAAAAACACCTGGATTCTCCCCAAGCCACAGCTGTTTAGTTGGAAAATGCCTGGTTCCCATTGAATCAAGGCAGTCAGGGAAAAGGGCCACATCCGGCCCAGTGTGTCTACTGCGTACGACGCACACACATGAATCCTATTTGATCAAGACACAGTTATTTTGGAAATAAATAGTTCCTGCTGGATTCAAGCACAGCTCGTGACTAGCACACACAGATGGGGGTACACTGAGTGCAGATATTATCTATGAGAAACTCCAATACACAGATATTTGGTAAGAAAACTTATGGCACAGGTTTTTGGGCTCTGTTACTATCTCAGTTATTTCTCTCCTGGAACATATGTGGGTTTGGCAGTGCTGCTCTTTGATTAGGGTTGCTTGGATCACCAAGATCTGAGCATGTCCATCCAGATTCTTTAGGTCGAGCAGCGAATATATGTAAAATGAAATGCAAAATTGATAAGTCAATCTTGTTTTCCTTTAGTATACAATCAACAATATAGTAGCATAATCATAACAGGAAAGTTCCAGGACTTTCTGAACATACGTGAATTAGGAAAAATCCTATATCTCTATCATCACAATGTACACTTTCCACATATTCCCATCTTTTCCTTTATTGGCATAAACTTCTTTTGTGTCAAAAGGACACATTTTCACTACATTTTCCAAATAACTTTTCATCAATCCATTATTTTAAAAAAACCCACTGTTGGCCCTGAAATTAATCTGAAAATTAGGCAGATATTTCCAATGAATTAAGTAATCATTTATACTTAAGATTTACCTACTTTAAATCATACAGAGGTTTCTTATTGTTAACATAATTTATAAGGAGTGAGTCAGTGCTTAATCCCTTTAAAGGTGTTTTTAGTTTGCTATCCAAAATCAACCTGAGGAGAGAACCTGTGTTTTGAGAAATCACAGACTTCACATCTGAGGGTTCTAGAATCCTGAGGCCTTGGGAGAATTTCTTTTACCCAATTACTTGCTCCAGAAATCAGGAGAGGTTATGGTGGAAACAGCTTCATGAATTCAGGTTCTCCTCATCTTTCCTCTGTTGACTGCCAATTCCTTATTTCCCATAACTCTTTGTATCTCAGTGCAAAAAAAAAAAAAAAAAAAAAGGAGAGAAAGAAAAATGGAGGAAAGATATTGCAGAAGCTTCTAGCCTCAAAGGATGCATTCAATTAATAAACAGTAATCTTTCAGGAAAGCAACCCTAAATCCCCTGGTCAACAATGTCCATTCTGACCACTGCACATTGAGTGTTTTAGCCATCAAGCTGACCTCCAGGGTATCTGCAGTAGCATTACTGCATGTGCAGGAGCTTCTCTTCAAACACAGCTTCCTGTGTTTGCAAATGTATATGTATAATTTTTTTCTCTGACTTCACGGACTTTTATCCCCGACCCTGTATTTTTTTTTTTTAAATAAACGTAGCTTCCACGTTTTTGCTGTGTGCTTTATCTTGAAAATCCTTTTTGAAGGCCTCCAGCCTCTCTTCTCATGCATTTTCATCCCCAGTCTGCCCTGTTTCACCTGTGGGCTTTATTCACTGTTCTTCCTTCTGTTAAGCCCTGGTCTCTTATCCAGGCATAACGGAGAAGCTTAAAAATGGCCATAAAAAATGTAGTTTAGAAGAGATGCTTTAAAGCTCAAATTGTAAAGCCCTTCAGGGGGCACAGATGAATGTTAAATGCTGGGAAGCAAACACCAGTAATCAGAGATGTAATCGTTCATTTTTGAGCAAGTGCATTGTGTGGCCCAAGAGGAAAAAGGCAGAGCTGTAAACGGCTGCAGAGTGGCCACAGCTGCCAATCCTTGAACTTTGCAGGTGCCCAGAGTGAATGATTCCAGGAACTCAGCTCTCCTTCTGCAAGAATATCACCAGCAGAAAAGCCATGTTCACAAATCAAGGGAACTTGAAGGATTATTCTAGACCTAATCTCCATAGTCCCCTGTGGTAGGCAGAATAATTCCTCCTTCCCTACGCCCACAAAGATGTCTTCGTCATAATCCACTGAACCTGTAAATACATTACTTGACAAAAGGGACTTTGCAGATGTGATTAAGTTAAGGAGTTTGAGATGTGGAGATTGTCTAGGTGGACCCAATGTAATCCCAGGGGGCCTTAGAAGGGAAAAGGGGAGGAAGGAAAGTCAGAGTCGGAGGAGGAGATGGGACAAAAGGTTGGAGTGAAGGAGCCATGAGCCAAAGAACTCAGGCAGTCTCTCAAAGCTGGCAAAGGCAAGGAATTGGATTCTCCCCAGAGCATCCAGAAGGAACACAGTTCTGACAACACCTTGATTTTGGCCCAGTGAGACCTGTGTGGGATTTCTAACCTACACAACTGTAAGATAATACATTTGTGTTGTTTTAAGCCACTAAATTTGTGATAATTTGTTACAGCAGCCACAGGAAACTAATACACCCCTTGGCAGTGCCGAGACCAGTTTTTCCTCTTCCCTGAATTCTCTGAAGTAAATATTCACATTCCCAGTGCCATTGTTCCCTCTCAAACATGAACATTTACGTTCTCAATGAAAAGAAGACAGAAATTATCACAGCATCAGTTTTTGCCTCCAGCCAACAGTATCTCAAGAGATCAATTCCTGCTGGAAATTTGAGCAGATTCCTTTCATAGAAAGTGTCTCTCAACAGTGTCAAGATGAAGTTTTTCTTTGATTTAAATGCATTATTTGAAGTTATGTCTTTGTAAAAATGTTTTTTAGAAAAAAACCTGTCACAAAACAACACTCATGTTTAAAAGGCTAAAGATATAACAATCATGATTGTTAAAACTTTAACTAGCTGTGATTTGGGGATAATATTGAGTTAGCCATAATTTATCAGAGGGAGAGACTAGAGTCTTTGGGAAAGAGAGTCAAGGACACAAAGGTTCTGTTTAAATCAAAGGGCTTGACCCAACAGCCAGAAAATGGGGTTCTGGTTGTACTGTGGAGAGAAATAAATCCCGACTGTGGAAACAAATCTAAGTGCTGTATAATGGGCCATGAAATCTATTCAATGGGAGTCAGTGGCTCCAGAGGTGGGAACCTGCTAGTGTGTACACAAAGAATCTGTTTCTTTTCATCTCCTCATACTCAAATGGAAATGTGGTGGTTTCCAAACTTTTCTGACCCACCTTAAATAATATATTTTATATCATAGGCCACATATACACATATACAATGTAATTAAAACAGTATTTTCATGACATCTTACTTACCCTTGCAATGTGAGCTATATTCTGATATTTCCTAATTCTTCTTGTTATTTTTCACTGATGTTCGTTCATTTACTTATTTTTCATTTTTAAAATGCTAGTCAGGATCATTTATTTATTTTTCATTTTTAAAATGCTAGTCAGGATCAACTAAGTGGTCATGACTTGGAGTTTAAAAACATAGCTTCAGTAGGACTATTATCAAGAAGGTAGGTATTTTCTTTGGGTTGTAGTAGTAACAGCTATTCATTACTACCTAGTAACTTCAAACAAAATGATAGCTTGGAACTCAATACCTTTAAGGTCTTTCTAAGTCTATAATTTATAGTTTTTCATCAAAAGAAATATTACTTTATCTAAAGTTTTTTTAATAAAATAAAGCAATGACTAATAACTTGAAACCTTCTCTCCAGCAAGTTTGTTTAATTTAAAAAAATGGTTTTACTAAAATAATTCTGATTCCGTTTTGGTCTTCAATTATTAGTTCTAAACACCAAACATGTCTTTCTAATGAAAATCAAATTATTGAAATTTTTGCCATACCTTTTTTGTCACATTGTTCATTGGTGTTTCTGAATTTTGATTTCAGGAGTTGGGGAACTAGAATCACTCCTAAGGGATAAAGCATTTTGAGTCACTTCCAGAGAGTGTTTTGATTTATGCTGTAGCCAATATCATCTTGAAATTGTCCTCCCCTTCTCATCACTAATATTGCTGAAGGCAGGTGAAGCTAGTGTCCTAAGACTCACAGAGAAACTGCTCACTTTCACTTTGTTTTTAACAATTATGCTGCACAACACACTTGTCAGATTCTTGCCTGTAAAATAAAAGTGATGCTAAACTCTCAGGGCTGAAGAATAGCTAATAAATTGTGCTAACCCTTCAGAGATGCAAAACAATAGCAATCACTCATCAGTTTGCTGAGAGGTGACAGATTCCAATTTCCTATTTTTCCAGAGACACTCTCCTCATTACCAAGCAAAACCAGACCGGTTAACTTGCCCAAGATCTATAGCTTGCTGCAGTGATCTCATCGGTCTGTGTCCCTGATGGGAACTCAAGCAGGTGGTGCGGAGAGCAGCGAGATGACATACGGAGACAGATTGCCGAAATAGGCTGATCCACCAGGCCAACTAATTTTCCTTCTGAGAAGAGCAATTATTTTAAATTGCCATATATCAACATGACTTTGTTCTTGCCACTAAAATATAACATCAATAAACTGTAATGTAAATGAGTGCCTCCTGCTACATTGATTTTTAAAAATTAAAGATTAAAAAAATTAAGAAGAAGAAGAAGAGCTCACATTGCTTCATTTAGAATTAAGACAGGATCACAATTCAAGGCATTACAACATTAAGCTGGGATGTGTAACTCACACTATTTTAGAAGCCTTTTGACAATATCACAAAACTACTCTGTAACTTTGTTTTTAAATCGTATTAATTCTGTTGAAAAGTGTTCTTTTGTGTGAGAGAACACGGTCTCTTATGATAGATACAAAAATAAGGATGCTGGAAAGTAGATGTTGGATACAAGAGAGATTAAAAAAACTCACCTGCCCAATCTGTCTAGAACCAGAACTTAGGCTGGTTCAATCAAATACTCCTTATGAAAGAAATGCATTCAGAATTCCAAATAAGGATTTTGAAGAAAAATTTTAATATCTGTATTTAGATTTAGTGGCCCTAAAGGGAAATAGGGTGTTGATTTATGAAATTGAGAGAAATTATGAGCAGCTGGAACATTAAGGGCACATTGTCAGAGGGAGTTTTCATTGCCAATTTGGAATGAAGTTCCAGCATAGTCCAGTGCCATGATTTAAACACATAAGATCCTAGATGCCCCAATCTAGTTAATTTGAGCATATGTAATATCCAATCCTTGGATTATTTGATTGACAGAGCCATTAAAGATACAGCAGTTAAAGATAGATACAGAATGTAGTTAAATTTTATTACATTTTACAGTTTTTTCTTTAGAGATAACTATTTTTAACTTATGATGAATGATTTTTGAAATAAAAGACACTTTAACAGAACGACTAAGTAAAAATAAAGTCTGAAAATCTTTTTATTAATTCTAGAGAGCTTGACAATCAAACTACAAAACTGTTCCCAAGGTAAAGTATCTAAATGCATATAAGCTTCCTCATGTGGGCTGAGCTTGCAGCAGAAACATAAAACAAGAAGAAGAACGTCTCAGGGTAGACAAAGACATAATTATCTTCTATATTATTGAATAAACACTTTACTGCATAATAAATCATCTTAACCCCTTTTTCTTCAAATTCGGATAAAAATTGTTTTCCCGGCTTCTTGCAAAGAGCTTCCAAATAATACATCCATTCCTGATCTCTTGGTTTTCTCCCAGAAATCTTTAAATCAAATCAAGATAAGCAGTTTAAACCATTGAATTCGTTCTGTTATCTTTAAGGATTTTCTCTAACATTACTCTTCATTTGTCTGGACAAACAAGTTACCTGGGGTTGTGGAGGACCTACACAAGAGGAAGATCATTTGGGGTATATTAGACTACCACAAGGGGGAGTGAGTGCCAAATATTTTCAGTTGGGATTTTAGAAGGAAACCATCCTGACCTATGAAGTATTTGTATTAGGAATTCAAGGAAGAATCTGGTGGAGAAGGTCCCTTCCCTGGAAGAACCCAGGATTTAGTAAGGAAGTAGGTAACAAAAATTAATTACATTACAAGACAAATAATGCTGTGGGAATAAAGACTTATGGAACTTAGAAGACAGCTTCGCTTTCATTCATATCCAATCTGGCTAACACAGTTCATTGCTTCAACCGTCTCTTAGCAACATACCTTAATATCCTTCGCACCCAGTCCTTCCAAGGCGTCGTCCCCTTCCACAGCCTCCTCCTTCCCCACATCCTTTTGGATTAATCCAAACAAGTGTTTCCTTTTGTTTGGCCTTCCTTGAGATGCTACCTGCTCCTGTCTGTGTCTCGCCGCTGCTGTTTGTTTCCTGCAGCAGCACTTATCACTTTCTAAAATGAACATCTTTGTTGAGTTACCTGTTTATTGTCCGCCTTCTCTCTAAAATGTGTGATTCTGGTGAATTTTATTCACTTCTCTGTCCTCAGTGCCTACAAAAGCATTGACTGAATTTATGAATTCATGCAAACTGATATCATTTTAAATCTATAGGTTCCAATCCCAATTGGGTCCCCACTGCTGTTCAACAAACCTTTAGTCAACAAATTCCTTTCCTTGAGTTATAAGAACCTCCTTCACCACTGTTATAAATTCACTTCAGCAAATGATCTGGTCCTTCACACCCCAATGGCAGCCCCTCTAAGGACCTCATGGGTTTAGGGATATTTAGGGTACTGTTCGGTCTGTCTCATAGTTAGCATCTCTGCTGCATTAGGCAAGGTTTCCCAGTCTCTCTTTTAAATCCTTCTCCTGTGGCTTACACAAAACCATTCTCTCTTGGTTTTCATTCCTCAGACCTGCTGGATCAAAATCTCCATAGACAAGACCCAAGTGTGTATGTGTGTGTGGGTGTGTGTGTATTTCAAGGCAGAGTCTTGCTCTGTCACTTCACCCAGGCTGGAGTGCAGTGGCACAATCATGGCTCATTGCAGCCTTGACCTGCTGGGCTTAAGTGATTCTCCCACCTCAGCCTCCCAATAGCTGGGTCTACAGGCATGATCTGCCATGCCCATCTAATTTTTTTTATTTTTATCTTTTTAGTAGAGATAAAATCTCGCTATGTTGCCCAGGCTGGTCTCAAACTCTTGAGCTCAAGCAATCCTCCCAGCTCAGCCTCCCAAAGTACAAGGATTACAGGCATGAGCCACTGTGCCTGGCCTGTTTGGTTTTTGTTTTAAGAGCCACTGATAAACAGGTAGGACTGACAACTTCTTGTGGATTTCTTCTCTTCTCCTTTTCTTGTCCAGGGACAGCTTTAAACTTAGCAACTGGGTAAAAGCCAAGGTAAGGTTATAGGGGGCTGGGCTTGCGGGGGACAGATTTTGCCTTAAAACTGCCTTTGCATGACAAACACATCTCTTTTATTTGGATTACACGTTTCCAGATCATTACAAATGGGAAATTTTAATCAAGATGCCCATATACACAGCTTACATAAAGGCAATTGTAAGATGCATGTATTCAATATTTACATGTTTCAGAAAATATTAGTTGCCATATAGAAGAATATTGCTATGCCATGGTGATTATCATTTGGGGGGAAATCATTTGAAGGGATGCTGCCTCAGAAGGACCAGGCGCCAAAGATGTTAAGGTATGTTGCTAAGAGATGGGGTGTCCCCACTATTGACACCCCCTCATTTTCCCACTCTCTTAGCTTCAGCTTCAGCTTCCTACCTAGACCCCAACGATACTCAAATCTATGACTTTAAGAACACATAGCCTCTTTCTCCCTCAAATGTGAATTCCTCATTCTCAATGGATGACGAATCTTTTCCAACTGATACTTAACAGGACCCATTGGTATATTGGGGCTGGTATTTTTGGGGGCTGGTATATTTAACAACTGTTAAATACCAGCCCCAATATACCACTTTCTCTCCTAAACTTCCTTTCTTTCACTGAGTCCAGTGGACTATATTTTTGATTTAAATTTTTTCTCCATCTCTCCACCATTTCTTGAATCTGGATAATCAGGTCTTGTTTAAATGATTGGAATTGCTTTTTGACAAGCCAGCCTACCTCCAATACCTAAACATGTTCCATCCCTCCACTGACAAACTACTAAATACTTCCATAGTTATCTTTCCAAAGAGACAATCCGATTATCTCCACTACCTTCCCCTCTTGTTTTAAAACCCTTCAGTGGCTCTCCCATTAAGGACTAGAGTCATATCTCCTTATTCCTGCATGCAATGTCCTTTGTGATCAGACCTCGGCTCATTTCCCAGGCTCATCACCCTCCTGTCCTCCCCAGGCCTTAGCCAGCTCTCATTATGTGAGAGTTTGAGAAGATGTCACTAAATTGTAGCCTTTCAAATGCCTTCAACTCCTAGGCATGGACTTATGCCTCCAAAAATGCAAAGTAATAAAATGTGGAAAATAATCAGTTTATTTTTATTTGCGGGTTGGTTTTATTTCACATGCTAAGGTTCTTCTAAATTTATTCTGGCTTCCCTGCAGCAATTCTGCCCAATTCCATTTTACGTGAAATAACAGCAGCAAAGTTCAGAAATACTGCCACCTTGTGATCACAGAGTAGGTGAAAAGCCAAGTGGTCCTCCCTTTATAAACATGTTTATAAACAGAGGAGCTCAGAACTGGAGAGATTCCCTGACCAGTCCCTCTTTCCAGGCCTTAAAACTAACAACCACTTGATTACTGCTAGAAACTCAAAATTACAAAACTCTACCTTTAGGGTCTACTCTTAGTGACTCTCTTTTGTAGAGTTTTGTTGGTTTCCCTCCCCCAGATTATTTAAAGATACTGAAGGACCCACTTATTTAAGCCATCTTCAGGTTCAGGTCCTTTGAAGCCCAGAGAACTTTTTTAAGCCTTTTACTTTTAGGAGGTATGTGCTCCAGACCATAGCTGTCAACTGTATTAGGACAGCAGTGAGTTGATGCTATTTGACAATACAAACCCAAAACAGGGCGTGTAAGAAGTCCTCAAGAGCTGCTTATTGAGAGAATTAATGAATAAACAAATGAACAGCAGATACGATGACGATTTTAAGAGTGGAGAAAAATGTTTCTAATATTTTTGAAAGCAGTCATTTTATTTTGAAATGTCAAGTCCATCTTGAAACATTGACATATTCTATACTCTTGAGCTATTTAAGGTGGGTTTGAATAAAAGAATAATGGAGGTGTAGAGAGGCGAAGTGACCTATGTCTAGTGGCATACCAACAATAAATAGGTTCAGGGCAACTCAGGGCATTGCAAAGATGGGTGAGGCTGAAAGGAAATGTAAAACATATTCATTCAAACCCCTTTTGATACTGCTTTGCAAAAACAGGTTCATCCAGTTCTTCCTTTCTCTCTCTCTGTCTCTCTCTCTTTCTTGAGACAGGATCTTACTCTGTCACCCAGACTGAAGTGTAGTGGTGTGATCATGACTCACTGTAGCCTCAATCTCCCAGGCTCAAACAATTCTCAGGCCTCAGCCTCCGCACCTGGCTAATATTTTGATTTTTTGTAAAAACAGGTGCCCACGCTGGCTCAAATTCCTGAGCTCAAGTGATCCATGCACCTCGGCCTCCCAAAGTGCTGGGATTACAGGCAAGAGCCACAACACCCAGCCTTCTTCCTCTCTTTGGCTCTATTCTTAACTATTATTTCATCACATAGACTAGCTTATTTTTTAAGGTTTGTTCTCAGAATGATTGTTTTCAAATGACTTAGAACTGGATTTCTCATAAGCAGCATAGTAGCCACTGGAGACTTTTGTACACAGGTAGAGAATAAGCTGCTTTGAAAAGTCATTGGTCATTCCAAAACTCATTTGTATCATGAGACATCATAGAATATATGCTTTGTAAATAATTTGTTTTTCAGAGTCAATAACTAATTACCAGTTCATGCCCTATAAATAAATCCATATTGGAAATTATGTCTAAGTAGATTCATCACAGAAACGATTGGCCGACTGACCAAACAGCAAACTTCATGATTTACTTCTTGGCTTAGCTGCTCTCTTTGCATTTCTTTTTTAAGCAGTCCTCTTCCCCCATCATTATTATAGTAAAGAAGGAAAATGGACAAGGTGAAGCAAGGCTAGACAGGTGTGAATTTAAAAATCACTGATCCTAGAAAATGTTTGCAGCTTTTGGGTTGTAAGAAAGTGAAGTAGGCCTGACATGCTGGCTCACGCCTATAATCCCAGCACTTTGGGAGGCTCAGTCAGGAGGATCACTTGAGCCTAGGAGTTTGAGACCAGCCTGGCAATATACGGAGATCCCATCTCTACTGAAAGTACAAATAAAAAATTAGCAAGTCATGGTAGAGCATCCCTGTGGTCCTAGTTACTCAGGAGGCTGAGGTAGGAGGATTGCTTGAGCCCAGGAGGTCGAGGCTATAGCAAGCTGTGTTCGCAAGGAAGAAGATGAAGCAGGTTCTGTGACACAGAACAGAATTCAGGGCAAGTGCAGGGCTGGGCAGCCTCACACTGTAATTCACACTCAGGGCAATAAACAGAAAATAATTTTCAGAATGAAATCATGGCATTGATCTTGTCATCATCTCGAGCACTTGAGATTTTGAAACAAATTAACATTGTCTCCTTAAATGCAAGGTATCCTTCTTAGGCTCCTTAAGGAACTTTGCCATTTAAAAAAGTTAAGTTTTCAAGATAAAGAGACCTACTTTGGTCACAGTGAAGATTATGACTAGCCAATTGGCAAATGCCAGAAGAAATCCATGTGTTTCTTTTCCTTTCACTCTGCCCATGTTCCACGTATATCAGTTCCACTTAGCTAAGTTGTCTGCTCCTTTTGACTTGCTGGAATATCACAATGCAAGTCTGGTGGGCACAGAAATTCTGGGATGGTGTCTAGCCTTAATTAAACACCCCCAACTGTGGTGCAGTCAAACCTTGAGATTTTCATGACTACTGAGACCTGGACAAAAAACAAGTATTTTTTGCCCAGTAGAGTTGAAAGCCGAAATAAGCAAACAAGAAGGAGGAAACATATAAGTAGGAGATTGCAAAGGCAGAGAGGTAAAGATGGCTTAGCTCCAGGTGGTCAATGATGCTCTATCCAGATGAGGGGCTTTGGGGCCCAGAGCCTGCATGTCCTGATGGGTTTTCAATTCTGAGCACAAGATATTCATCTGAAATGTTAATTTTCCATGTTCAGCCATTTGCCATCCGGATAAAATTCCCAGCACAGCTTCTGCACAAACTCAGGATAAGGTGGCAAGCTCTTAACTGCCTTGACTGGTAAACCATGTAAATAACCCCTTTTCATTGTTTTTTTCCACAGGCAAGATAGAGTAGTCTTTCTAATATTAACTTCAGCATAAATATTGAAACTCACATAACTTGAATATTGAAAAAAGCTTCCAAATGGTCTTTGAATTTAAATAGCACCTTGAGACTCCCAGCCCCCAGAACAGCTCTAAAATTCAAATGACTAACCAACTTGCCATTCTTTGCCTTCTCTAATTTCCATATTTCTTTTTTTTTGTGCTAATAATTAGCCATCTCCCACATTCTTGATCACATGTAAACAGTAGACCAGGCATGGTGGAGAGAGCAGCTAATTAATATCATTCAGATGGAAGGGCTTTCATTTTCTGCCTGCTTTTGGGAAATTATTCCCTGGAAGAATTTCTTTGTATGGAGATATTGGACAATCTCCTATGTCCATCCTGTGGACAATAGGAGATGTTGTCTGGGCTCTGTAACATGGATTTGATCATTCCAGCTGTCTGCTTTTAGCAGTGTGCGATAACACATGGTCAGATGGCTTGCCCTGCCCTAACATATGCACGATCATGGTTCAATATCACTTCACTGGAGTACCCAAATGTTTCTGGTTTACCTGCAAAAAATTCAACTTTTTTTAAACAAAATTGGGAAATAGTATAGGTCTTGTACAGCATTCCAGTCATGCACCAAGCACACACCAAGGGTTGTTTAGTAGGTGGCCCCATGTTGGGTACAGTTCTCTCCCTAAAACTACAGGAAAGGCACTCCATTCTCACACATTGGATCCTTCTTGCACTTTCATTCTCACACATAACAAATCTCCCACAGGCAGACAGTTCGCAAAGACCATATGGATAGAGAGGCATTTTGTCTTATTTTTAAATTTTTTTTTTTTACAAAACTGATATGCAGATTTAATAAACTATCTAACAGTATTGTCAAGGGAGTTGGGCAAAATTTTCAGATAATTATATTTGGCCCCATTTCACATGAAAATATCCTTTATGACTTAGAGTACATTCTTGGTGTATATATTTTAATGTATTACTCACATTCTGCCTTTTAAATAAAATATGCTGAACTTGAAGTATCCGCCATGAATCTTTGATGTAATTAAGGATATCTGATTCTTCCACTCCCCAATGCCCCCAGGGCCTGCTTAGGTATTTGAAGCTGTTTCTTGCTACATAAAACATCCCAGACTGATTTTTTGGGCTGTCTTTTTAAGTTGTAACATACTTTGTTTCTTGGAGCCACTCTTGGTGTTTTCATTGTGTTGATTTCTGGTGGCCTTGCTTCTGAATATTTTCTAGATTAAGCCTTGCATGGCTGTGATAGGTGATTATTTTATACTTACTAGCACACAGCAGGACATTTATACATATCCACATTTATGGCTATCTTGATAGTTCATTATTTTACCCCTAATACATAGAAAAATCCAAGTTTTGCAGAACAAAACTTGGAGATGTGAGTTCTGGTGGTTTCAGGCTCACTTATTTGTGGCCCTGTGTGACATGTTGGGCAGGATTTAAAACTTGTACTAATAAAATTTAAAAGAGCTACAGGTCACACACTTCAAAAAGTAGATATGCAAATGACAAGGATCTAATACATTGCATTTATACCTACAATCACAGATGATTTAATTAATGGCAATTCAACTCTCTTCAGGAGCCAGTGAGTAACATAAATGTGTGAATGAGCCAAGGTTAAGACAGCAGGGAGTAAATGAAACCAGGAGTGCGTGCCCCTCCTAATAATACAGATACCTTGAGAATTCGTGCTGGTCAGGCAAACACATCTCCAAGTCAAATATGGCCTCTGGAGCATTGTAATTTTATTTTTTGGGCTATCTCCATCACTGGTTTGCTTGGTTTTTTTTGTTTTTTTTTTTTCTTCTAAGGGCAACGTAACATCATTTGCCCTCATATGGGCAAGATCAACTGAAGAGCTTTTTCTTTTTGAATGTTCTGGTAGAATTTTATTATGGAAGTGATCTTCCTTTGAAAGTGTGAAACAGTATATAGTTAACACAATATGGTGGAAGTGCTCTGATAATTGTTTTAGTTCTTCTGCAGTTTGGGGGATGTTCATGACACTCAGGGAGGAAGGAATATGGTGGGTGATTCTGAACAAGGGCCCCAGAGTCAGACTGCAGAGGTTCACATCCCTTCTCCTCTAGTTCCCAGCTGGACAATCCTGGTCACATGTGCTCTCCTTCCTAAGACTGGGGATTTCTTCATCTGTAAAGTAGGATGGGATGCCAGGCATGGTAGCTCACACCTGGAATGCCAGCCAAGGCGGGAGGACCACATGAGGTCAGGAGTTTGAGACCAGCCTGGTCAACAAAGTGAGACCCTGTCGCTACAAAAAATATATATATTGTTTTTTAATTAGCCAGATATGTGTGTGCCCACCTGTAGTCCCAGCTACTCAGGAGGCTGAGGTGGGGAGGATCACTGAACCAGGAGGGCCATGACTGCAGTGAGCCATAATCGCACAACTGCACTACAGCCTAGGTGACAGAGTGAGACCCATCTCAGGAAAATAAAAAAAGTATGATGGGAGCAGTGCCTACTTCACAGAATTGGTCTGAGGATTACATGAGACAAAGGAAGATCTCACAACAGTGCATGGCAAATAATAAAAGCTCAACATATGATGGTTATCACCATTATCATCATTATAGCATTATATTTGACCTTGTAACTAATGTGTTTTCTTTATTCCCTGTGATTCTAGTATTTTCTAGTAGCCTCTGTGATCGGCACCCAATTAATCAAAGGCATTCATTGTTCCCAGGAGGAAGGTGGGTAAAACCTACAACAAAGACATCAATTAAAGTGCTAAATTAATTTCTGTCCCTCTCTAACATAAATAACAAACTAGAAAGCAAGGCATTCATTTGCAGGAGGCTGGCTTTGTTAAGAGAGACAAAGAGTTGTGTTTCCAAAGAGCTAGAGAGTGGAGCACTGGAGGCTTTGGGCATGCAGTAAGTCACAGGGAGAGTAAGAATGCACACGTGTGTGAACAGTTTCCCTCTACACGGAGGACAGACAGCAGCCGTCCCTGGAGGGCTGGAGGGAGGATGGAAAAGAAAGGAGAGAGCAAAGGCATTTAGACACCAACAAAATGGTGACTCGCTGCCCCTCCCCATCCCATACCTCATCCCCAGCATCTACCCCCAGAAAGAGGCAATATTGAACCCCCAAGTTTGTTTTGAGTATTCAAAAGTATGGAAAACCCGTGCCCCAATTCCTGTATAGCGCTCTAGGAGAGCGGTTTCAGAGTGGACAGTGTGATACCATAAACAGTAGAGAAAAATAGCTGCTTCTCAGATTTCAGACATAAGGAAGAACATGCTTGGATGTCTAGGTGTGTGTGTGAAGGATGAGGGCCCCAGAAATATTTTCGTAAGTTTAAATTCTGACCTGACTGTATTTCAAACCAGAAGCGACTGAGTTTTGTTGAACTGGCAAGGTTGTTTTTCTACCACTGGGCCAAAATAGGGCTTGCAGTTTGATTAGCATAAAAATAAAGGAAGTTACCAATCTGAGTCTAATGAATGTTTAAAATGCTTCCCCTTTTATTATGATCTATTCATTGATTTCCAGGAAGGTGTTTTTTGCTTGCTTCCCTGTGCTCTGGATTGCTGGCTGCTGGCTCTAGTTATTAAGGAAACAAGATCATGACCCTGAAACCTTTAGACACTCAACCAACTCTGTGCATCTGTTTTTTCTCTGCCATGATCTGCTGTCTGTATTTTGCAGCCACATGGAAAGAGCAATGTTTTAAACCTTCACTAGTGCTGTGGATCAATTCTGGCTTGGATTCTCATTTGGAATTGATTCCCCTTGGGCAGGAATGTGGGTGCTATATCACTCCCTGAGCATGTCAGTAAACATCCTCCCTGTCAGCATTGCTGTTCAATCATGTCTTGTCCAGCACCCTGCGGGTACAAGAGATCACAGAGCCTTACATTTGGCCATTTCCTAGGAAGCCACACTTTTATACATTAAGTCAAATTCTCAGGTATCTCTTGGTTTTGCTCTATTCTCACCTCTCAAGCTGACATATATTTTCTAAAATTAAGTCTTCCAGAGACTTATCTGTAAAAATATTTTCTTAAGAAATAATTTTCATTTTATGGAAGAAGAAATATCAACTTAGAACTACTTTGTGACAGCATCCAGGCTGGGTGTGATGGCTCACGCCTGTAATCACTTTGAGTGGCTGAGGCAGGAGGATTGCTTGAGCCCAGGAGTTCAAGACCAGCCTCCTAGGAAACATAGTGAAACTCTATCTCTACCAAAAAAAAAAAAAAAAATACAAAAATTAGCTGGGTGTGGTGACACATGCCTGTAGTCCAGCTACTCAGGGGGCTGAGGTAGCAGGATCACTTGAGCCCAGGACACTGAGGCTGCTGTGAGCTGTGATTGTACCACTGCAGTCCAGCCTGGGCAACAGAGGGAGACCCTGTCTCAAAAATTAAAAAAAAAAAACAGAGTAAGATCATCCATTTTTGATAGGCACATATTGACTGCTTGGTCCCATAGCCATGTGGGAGCTAAGGCTCCAGTTGGGGGATCTGTGCTGGTAGTGGCCTGAGCTGGATATTTCACTGATGGGTCCTTATGTAATCATCCAGTGGGTTCTTTCTGCCCACCGCACAGACAAAATCAATTCACTGAGATCATGACATTGCAGTAAAGATGGAGTTTAATCCATGGGAGGCCAGCCAAGAGGGAAACAGAGCTATTACTTAAATCAGTCTCCCTGAAGTCTTGGAGTTAAGGTTTTTCAAAGATAGTTTGGTGGGCAGGGGGCTGGGGAATAGGTGCTGCTGATTGGTTGAAGAAGCAATCATAGGTGTGTGGAAAATGGTCCCATGCACTGAGTCTACCTCTGAGGGGGGCCACAGGACTGACTGAGTCATGAGGGTCCATGTGGAGACAGCCAGTCATCAGAAATGCAGAAAAAACATCTCAGAAAAACATCTCAAAAGGCCAATCTTAGGTTCTACAAACAGTGCTGTTATCTATAGGAGGAATTGGAGAAGTTACAAACCTTGTGACCTCTAGAACAATGGTCAGTTATTAATTACACCTATGTCTTCTCAGAATTCAGGCCCCTATCTCATGGTCCTAACCTTGTGGCTTTTCTTTAGTTTTACAAAGGCAGTTTAGTATTCGGAAGGATTATTATCATCTTTACTTTAAGGTTAAACTATAAATTAAATTCTTTCCAAAATTAGCTTGGCCTATGCCCAGAGATGACTGAGGAAAGCTCTGAAGTTATAAGCAAGATGGAATCAACTATGTCAGATTTCTCTTGCTGTCATAATTTTGCAAAGGCGGTTTCACTGTTGTCTAATACCCAGGTCCTCTCAAGGTCTCAGTCCAGATGGATTTAGAATACAGGATCACTGCAGTCCAGTTCTGCTTCATCTTATCCTCCAAGGCACTGAGTTATTTCATGTGCATAGGGCATCAAAGCAGCTTATTAACGTGGTGTATAAGTAGAAAGAAAAGAGACTAGGAAATCCAGAAGAAAATCCTGTTATATCTTTTGAAATTCGTATTCATTCCCAAACATGAATGCCAGCATTTGCTCATGTGCTGGCCAACTAATGGAAACTAAAAATGGAATAAAAAATAACAATGTCTAAGGCTTTCAGACTATCCCATATCAACTTATCTTGAGGTAGAATTTTATTGTTACTGACCTGCTGCTCCTACTAGTACCATAAACTTTCAGATTTAAATTTACAGAAAACATCAATTGCATGATTGTCCCAAAGTTCTTGTCCTCTCCCATTCTTGCCCTCTGCAACTCTTAGTTGCATTCATAATGTTAACTTACCAATTTCCAAAATTCCTTCTTCAATTGGATAGGACTATATGAAAAAAAAAACTAATGTGTAAATATGGTGAGAAAAATCTAAGGATGTAAGTAAAATTCAGAGAGGCAATTTCAATGCCCCTCATACAATGAAACCCTTTCTACCTGAAATTTCTCTATCCAAATGTGATCTGTGGACACTCTCCAGAGCAGCCTCTGGAGCAGCATTGAACTTTCTGGAATGAAGGAAATGTTCTAAAACTGACCTGTCCAATATAGCAACCATTAGCCACATGTGGCTATTAAACACTTGAAATGTGGCTGGTGTGAGTGAGGAGCTGCTTTTTTATTTAATTTCAGGTAATTAAAATTTCAATCTTTTAATTTAAATAGCCATGTATGATATGATAAGAAATATATATTTTGGTCTTCTTTCCCCATTTCTTGGCACATAGCTCTTAAAACCCTTGCAATCTCTGAAGTAATCACGTCTTTCTATACACTAATGAGATGACTGGTGTCTGGGGGCTCTGGACAGCCTCAGAATAGGGGGATGGGTGCCAGGGAATACAACCACATGATTAGAGAGTCGGAACTTTGATCTCCAATCCCCCCGCCTCTGGAAGAGAAGAGGGCCTGAAGGTTGAGTCGATCCCAGTGCTCAACGATTTGATTAATTACGCCCACAAGATGAAGCTTCCATAAAAACCCAAAAGGATGGGGTTTGAAGCGCTTCTGGGTTGGTGAATGCCTGGAGGTGCTGTGAGAGAGAGTGGCCCAGAGAGGTCATGGAAGCTCCTCATCCCTTCTCCCATACCTTGACCAATGTGTCTCTTCCCTCTGGCTGTACCTAAATTGTATTCTTTGTAATAAACTGGTAATCTTGTAAGTAAACTGTTTTCCTGAGTTCCGTGAGCTGCCTTTGCCAGAGAGGACCTGTTATTATTAGCTAAGTCAGACGGAAGTTATGGGCAACCTGGGGCTCACTACTTGTGATTGACATCTGAAGTGGGGGACTGTCTTGGGGGACTGAGTCCTTAACCTGTGGGATCAGATGCTATCTCCTGGTAGATGGTGTCAGAATTGGGTTAAATTGTAGGACATCCAGTTGGTGTCCTCAGAGAATTGGAGAATTGCTTGTCATAGGAAAAAGCTCTACACATTTTGGTGACCAGAAGTGTTGTGGTGGTATAGAAGAGAAAATACTGGTTTTCCCCCTAAAACCATGAGGCTAGTCGCTGCCATTTTTGACAGCACTACTGCAGAGGATTTTACTTTTAAGGTTAGAAAGAGCAAAGCTCCAAGGGGGTGGGAGGGAAGAGGCCCCAGCACCAGGCCTAGGCATAAGGTAAGCCACTACATTGGACCTTGCTGGTGACTCTGTTTGGAGCTTCTGAGAATCCCCAAAGCTGACACTGGGAGAATGGAAATGGGCTAAGATGCCCTTTATGAATCTCTTCCAGGCTCATGAGAATTCTGCTCTATTCATTGTGTAATTGTAGTTTCTCCCTTCCTCCAGACATTTTTCTCGTTTGGAGAAGTGTTGGTTGCTAGGAGACTGAACTGCCTTTTCAAGGAGAGTACTTTAGAGAGAAACAATTCACATGATTTTCTTCTTTTATAAAATGAAAATTTGTAAAATATTTGCAATGCATAGTGAAAAAGTCAAGCTTTTACATTTCTTTGTATATTTGTTTTAGCAATCATAGAAACTTTCAATTACTTTTCCCACTGCTTCACACTGCAAGAAAGAAAACAAAAACTGACTGCCTTTTCTGTAGCATTTCTTAAGGAAAAAATAACATTCCAGGCTTGTTTCCAGAAATGGTGAGGTGATATCTTATCCTGCTTACCTCACAAGGGAGCTGTGAGTGAGAATCAAAAATAATGACATTTATAATGGAAATGGAAATTGCAAAGCACTATCCACCAGAAATAAATCAGTATTGCACCCAACAGCTCATAGTTTTATCCAACTACTTATTCTTACCATGATTTTCATAAACTTACAAAATCATGCAGTCTGAACACATCATTTAACAAATAAAAGAGCCACAACTTGGAGAAATGAATAGGTCTCTTAGGTTTCTAACTTCCAGACAAAGATGCCATTATACTGCAATGACTTCTCAGAGAATGTGAACAAAACTCCTTTAAATGTTCGACTAGCTCTTGTAATCACCATCAACAACATTTAAACCTTGGGTAGGGAGTAGTCAGCATGAAATGACATTTCCTCTCTAACTCACCTAATACGATGCCTGGCACACAGTAGGTGCTCATTAAAGAGTAGTTGTTAATAATGATGGTAATATCCTAGCTAATAAGGATCTTTTCTTTCAAATTTCTTGGCCTCTGCTTTAAAAATCCAGCTGTAGTAATTTTTTTATTGACCAACTGCAAAATTCTTTCATGTTTGAGAAATTTGCCTATGTTAATTGACAGTTTAAAGCAAAAGAGCTTTCTTTCTTTGTATATCTGAGCAGCAGAAGAGCCACCAAAAAGGAGACTAGGAACAAGTTATTTTACAAAGAAATATTTTGGCCAGGCGTGGTGGCTCATGCCTGTAATCTCAACACTTTGGGAGGCTAAGGCAGGAGGATCATTTGAGCCTAGAAGTCCAAGACCAGCCTGGGTAACATAATGAGACTGTCTCTACAAAAAACAAACAAACAAAACTATCTGGGCATGTTGGCACACACCTGTAGTCCCAGCTACATGGGAGGCTGAGGTGGGAGAAACGCTTGAGCCTGGGTATTTGAGGCTGCAGTGAGCCGTGTTCACGCCACTGCACTCTAGCCTGGGAGCCTGGCCAACAGAGCGAGACTCTGTGTCCAGAAAAAAAAAAGAAGGAAAGAATTCATAATGTAAGAATAATATGGTTGGAAGAACCTATTTGATAATTATCATAGATGCTATATTTTTTCAGGTTATCCATGGCTTTTGTGGAGTCCATACTCCTTAGAAAGAGTTCAGCACAGGAGAGCACCCCGTGGGTCCTCTTTTGCTAGATGAGCTAGTATTTTAAAAGTACTTAGATGTAGACAAGCTCCTCAGGGTGACAACTAGCTTACAAACAGCATCCCACAAGCACACAATGCCAGTTTCATACTGCCCCAATGTCTCCAGACCTGCCTAGGGTCTCAACCGTGACTAGGCATTAGAACTACCCAGTGAACTTTAAAAAATATGATGTCCCAGCCCAGATCAATCTGTCCCTGTTTCTGGGAGGGGAGGCAGGTCTAGGCGGCTTTTAAAACTCCCTGGGTGGATCTAATGTGAAGCCAGAGTTAAGAACGAAGTCCTTAAGCTGTTCTGATTCCAGGTTTCTTTGATCTAAACCAAACACGTGTAGGTCCACAGCACTAGCTAAAAGAACTGAAGGATCAAAAGTTTCTCTGCCCCATCTGAAATTGCCAACATCAGATCCTCACTGAATCTCCTGCGCTCCTATTTCTGCTCCTCTCTCTCCCTCTTTTTCTCCCTGCCTTACTCTTTCCCTTTGTCCCTAGCTTTCTTCTCTCTCTTGCTCTCATCTCCTTTTCTGTCTGTCTCCTTATTCTCTCAGTTCTGCTTTGAGAAATCTTCCCCCTCAATAATATGCCTTTGATCCCTTTCACTTTCTTCCTTTCTGATAGTTTATCTCAGGAATCCACCTTTCTTATTTTTCATTTATTGTTCGATTTTTGTTTCATTTGTGAGCCAAACTAAAAGATTGTGTGTGTGGTGAGGGAAGAGCAGGAGGGCTGGAGGGCAATGATCCAGACATACACATAAAAACATTGAAAAGAAAAAAGTTCAAAAGGAATCAATGCCACCAACTTTCAAAGCACTTGAAAGCAGCCACAAGTCCCATTCCAAATCTCCCTATCCTGCTCTAATTAGACTTTCCTTTCCTTAATCACCAGCATTCAAGAAAACAAAAAACAGAACAACAAAAAAAACCCCACTATTTTGTTTTTAATGTAGTTTAATGTTCTTCTCTTTTAATTAAGGGTACTACAACACCACTGTGCTAGTCTTGGCTGCTTTCAGTATTCAGTTCTCCAGTTCAGTGGCTGAATGCCTGCCACCATGGTGGCTGTAGAGAGCTGCAGATTGAGAAATTTAAGATCTTAAGGAAAAACTGTTTGGAGGTCATCAAGATTGAGAGTAAAACCATTAGTAATGATAAGTTCTATACCATGAATTTCCATTTGACATCTCTTGCTCTCTGGAATCTCTTGAGGATCTCCCACATAGGCCATTTTAGTAAGGTGCTCATAAATCTGTTTAGCATTGTTGAAGATAAAACACAGACCAAAATGCATTGGTCTCTGTGACTGTACTCCCATCCCAAGTGCCCCACATATTCGACAGTTTCACCCAGCGAGTGTTTGTGCTTATCTCTGCCTCCGCTGTCCTCAGTCCTCTGTGCTGGAATTATTCTCCAGTTGTCACATGTGCTCCAGGAACAGCCATCTGAGACTGCAGCTCACATTCTGCGCTCATTTTTGCCATCCCTGTCTATTTCTCCCATTACCTCATTTAACCCTGGAAAGAGTGACTTAAAACTTACTCAATAAAAAGCTAATTCCTTGGGATTGTTGTAAATATATACAGAAAAGACTTCGGTATGCTAGGATTTATATATATATATAAAAGAAAAAAGGGGAAGAGTCAGACTGGTTCAGATTCCCTGGGCTTTTGCCAACTGACCTAGGAACCCAGACACAAGAATGGGAATGTTTCTGGAAAATGCTTCCTGAGTTCCAAACAACCAACTTACAGCAAATATGGGGCATAAAGTCAGCATACAGCTATTCAGTCAATAATTGCTGTTCTGAGAGTTGTGAATTGAGGACTGCCTAAGGTGATGGGAATCCAAGCGTGCTGTTTGAATAAATAAGACAATTTTGGCTTGTAAAGCCTTCTTAGCCTGTGGGGGATGCTTAAATGGTGCTGGCTAAGATTATTTGGAGAATCAACACTGACGGCCTTGGGGATGAGAGAAGTCAAAGGAGGACCACACCAGGGAAGTGGATGGGTTCCAACAGTTTCCACCTCCCTGGTGTGGGTCCTTGCTGCTGCTGTCACCCTGTCTCAGACTTCCTTGTTGCCAACAAAAACTAATAATAACCTGACTCCTTTCAGGAAACCAAAGATAAAGGAAAACAAATAAAGCAGGATTCAATGAGCTAAGGATCAATCGTTTAAGAACAATAATCTTTCAAACCAACTAGCTAATAATAGATGCAACAAATAAAAAATAAGCAAACATGATGAAAAAAGCAAAAGTAATATTAAAAGAGCTCAAAGAATAACTGAAAGAATAAAATTTTAAATAATTCAGAGTACATTTAAATAAAAATACTGTAAAGAATAATTAGTATGGTGAAATAAACAAATCTTTATTAAATACCTATTTTTTCTTTCTTTTTTTTTTTTTTTGAGACGGAGGTCACCCAGGCTGGGGTACAGTGGTGTGATCTCGGCTCTCTGCAACCTCTGTCTCCCAGGTTTAACCAATTTTCTTGCCTCAGCCTCCTGAGTAGCTGGGACTACAGGCATGAGCAACCATGCCTGGGTAATTTTTTTTTTTGCATTTTTAGTAGAGATGGGGTTTCACCATGTTAGTCAGGCTGGTCTCAAACTCCTGACCTCAAATGATCCACCTGCCTCGGCCACCCAGAGTGCTGGGATTACAGGTGTGAGCCACCGCACCTGGCCAAATACCTAATATTTTAAAAGGCAAAATATTCTACATAAATTCAAACTCTGTTAATGGGTATTGTGCCAGAAATAGGCTATCAGTGTAAATATGAGCTACTAAATGCTTATTCATTTGTTCACCAGCACATATCAAGGAAACATTAGTCAGCCAGCTGAATTATGAAAATTCTCTCCCTATAATTAAATTATCATAGTACTAATTAAAACAAGTGTATACTTTTTATACCTGCATGTCCTTAAACAAATGTCCACTTCTATCTAGTCAAACACTAAATGAATGTATTGTAAACATTGCATGAATTCTAAATCCCAAAGACCAATGCACAGAACAATTTCATTTTGCTTTTCAAGATAGCAAAAAGACTGAGAATAAGTCTCGCTCACCCATATGAATTTCCTATGCAGGCATTATTCCCGGGTTATCTAGAGTTGAATTGTTAATGCTATTTAATTTTAATAGCCTTCTCAATTTTAAATCCTACTTGCAGAATGTGTACTCCATTTATGCTATTTCATGCTTGACTTGTCTACATATCTGGGGAAAATTTTTATTTTGATTTGGGTTCAGAATCAAAAAAAAAAAATTCGCAACTTGGAAACGACTAATATCTGAAAGCACGACCAAATAAATCTTCTCTCATTCACAGCACCCAGGAAAGCCAAGATTGGCATGAATGAATATGCTTTCCAAGCCCTGGCTTTTCTTGGGATCAAGAAGATTTTGCCTTGTATTTTTGCATGTACAGAAATAAGAACAAAAAGCACAAATATATATTCGATTTTTGCACTAAGTTTTGGGCTGCTTATACAACTTAGAAATATTTCTCTATGTATCCATCTTTCTATTTTCAGGTAGAGTCCAATGCCATGAAAGGAGCTACGCTGAGTGGAAGAACATCAACTATGTTTTTAATGGTCATTAAATGAAGTCTCAAAAGTGAAGATATCCAATCAAGTCCAATCCCTGGAACAATGTAGAAAAGATGGACCTAAGAAACCAAAATTGAAATGTCTTTTTCATGGATTTAGTGCAGATTCCCTTTAAGAAATTGATAAATTTCACTGTGGACTGGTTGCTAGGATACCCCTCAAAATCTATTAAAGTAAGCTCTTTCCTTTAAAGGACTGGGCAGGGTTTCCATTATTTCAAAATGACTTTGAAAATCATGCTGGGTGTTCCATCTAAGTGAATGAAACAGGTAAATGAATGGCCCTTAAGAAAAATAAATGACCATGAAGGATCTAAAAAATAATTAGGCTGTCTCATAATGATACATTTAAAAGTTAGCTTTGTCAAGGAGATTCAGATTTTCAAACCTGAAAGGAAGAAATAAAAATCAAATGTGAAATGGAAAATGTGAAGTTCCTTGGGGGTAGTTAAAGGCCTACTGTTGTAGAAAGCAAGGGACAGAGTTTACATTTAGAGTGGGCATGTTGTTTGACACTTATCATCTTAAATGTCATTTTTCTCTGGAACAAAAAGTAGCATGGGTACTTAAAATGTTTCACATTTTGAATTTCTGTCAATTAGTGAAAACTTGGTAAGCGCTCTTACAGGAATGTTCATATCCAGTTCTGTTACAAGGAAGGCAGGCTGGGGTAAAAAAGATGAATGAGTTCTAGAAAGGAAACTAGAAGCCTGACTCCTGAACTGAGGACACAGAGTGAATGTTCTTTGATATTTTGATATTCACATCTCTGGAAACTCATTACATATGGCTGTTTTCCTTATCTCTTTTCGTCAACTATGGATAAAAAATTCTGAAATCAAGAGTGATCCTGTATCACCAAAAATGGGAACTTTGATGTCAATACTACCTAAAGTGATCTACAAATTTAATGCAATCCCTATCAAAATCCCAATGTTTTTGCTTAAGCAGAAAAAAATCCATCCTAAGACTCATGTGGAATCTCAAGGGACCCAGAATAGCCAAAACAATCTTAAAAAGAACAACTTCAGAGGTTTCACACTTCCCAGTATCAAAATGTATTACAAAGATATAGTAATCAAAATAGTGTGATACTGGCATAAAGGGACATATAGACCAATGGAACAGAATAGAAAGCCTAGAAATAAATTATCCATATGTGGTCAAATGATTTTCAACAAGGCTGCCAAGACCAGTAAATGGGGAAAGGACAGTCTTTTCAACAAATGGTGTTGGGAAAACCAGATATCCCCATGCGAAAGAATAAAGTTGGACCCGTAGGTAACACCATATACAAAAATTAACTCAAAATGGATTAAAAACTTAAACTGAAGAGCTAAAACTATAAAACTCTTAGAAGACAACATCGGAGAAAAGCTTCATGACACTGGATTTGGCCATGATTTCTTGCACCTGACACCAAAAGCACAGGCAACAAAAGTACAAATAGATAAATTGGACTACATAAAAATTAATCATTGTACATCAAAAGACACAATAAACGGAATGAAATGGCAACGGATGGAAAAAAATATTTGCAAATCATATATCTGGTAAGGGTTTAATATCCAGAATAGATAAGAGCTCCTACAACTTAACAATTAAAAAAAAACCAAACAACATGATTTAAAAACGGACAAAGGACTTCAATACAGATTTCTCCAAAGAAGACATACAAATGGACAATAAGCACATACAAATATGCTCAGCACTACTAAACACCAGGGAAATGCAAATTAAAACCATGAGATACCATCTCATACCGACTAGGATGGCTACTATCAAGGGGAAAACAACAACAACAACCAAAAGCAAACAGGAGGTGCAGCACGTGGGAGTTGCTACCGGAGCAGAATCCAGGTTGGAGTTGGAACCCTGGAGATGCCGAAGGAAACCCGTCTTCCCTACCGCCCCCTAACGCACCGGCCTGCTTGGAACGCAGTTGGAGGCTGCGCGGTACCAGTCCCATGGGGGCTTCTGCTCCGGGTCCTCCAGTCTCAGTGGTCGCTGCTGAGCCGGCTCCCTCTGACTTTTTTTTTTAGACGGAGTCTCGCTCTGTCGTCCATGCTGCAGTGCAGTGGCGCGATCTCGGCTCACTGCAAGCTCCGCCTCCGGGGTTCACGCCATTCTCCTGCCTCAGCCTCCCGAGTAGCTGGGACTACAGGCGCCTGCCACCACCTGGCTAATTTTTTGTGTGTGTTTTTAATAGAGACGGGGTTTCACCGTGTTAGCCAGGATGGTGTCGACCTCCTGACCTTGTGATCCGCCCGTCTCGGCCTCCCAAAGTGCTGGGATTATAGGCGTGAGCCACCGCGCCCGGTCCCCTCTGCCTTTTTAAGGACCCCTGTGCCACCCCCAAAGAAGGCTTCTGCTCTGCTGGAGCCCAGATGGAGGCTGGAGTGGCTGACCTCACTTGTGGGGAGGAGAGAGGTATCACAGCGGCTTCTGATTCAAGTGCTGGTGAATTGTGGGAGGTGGATGAGAACGAGCCACTTACCGTCAGCAAGTTCTGCAAGTATGAGCATGGAGACACTGTGTCTACCCTCAGTGTTCTCGGCTGTCAGCGGCAGCAAAGACTTCAGCATCAAGGATTGGGACCTTGCTCTGCAGGTGGCACTGAATTCATACCGATCTCATGCTGGGCAGGTCACCTGTGCTGCTGCCTCTCCCCGCAAGGACTCTGTGTTTCTTTCCTGCAGTGAGAACAGTAGAATTTTATTCTGGGATACTCTCTGACCAAGCCGACGTCACAGGTGGGCTGCAGTGCCTCTGGCTGCCTTCCCACCTCACTGGCTTGGCATCCTCAGCAAAGTGAAGTCTTCATCTTTGTGATGGGAATGGGACAGTCTCCCTTGTGGACACCAAGAGAGGGAGAGGTGCCCTTGGCTCAGCTGTACAAGACCAATGTGTCATTGGGCTGGTGTTTTCCTCACACCGTGTTCCCTTCCCGGCCTCTTACAGCGAAGATGGCTCACTGGCTGTGCTGGACTCCAGCCTTTCTGAGGTGTTTAGAAGCCGAGGCCACTGTGACCTTGCGAGAGATGCTGCTTGATCCCCCCTCAATCACTTTCTGCTTACCACAATGGGCTGGGACCATCAGGTCGTCTGCCACAAGTGCCCACAGAACCTCTCCCAGCCCCTGGACCTGAAAGCGTTGCTGAGTAGATTGGACTTAAGACAAACAGCAAGTCCCCCATGAGAGTCCACTTCTTTGCCCCTGTTCCCTCAGCTTGTGAGATAACACAGGAGCCTTCTGTAGTATGTTGAAACATTAGATCTGTGCCATTAATTGGCATCGTCTCGCAGCCTGAAGGAGGCTGGATGCTGGGATCCTGTAGTCACAGGAAAGAAAAGCTTTCTTAAAAATGGGCATGCAGGTTCGTCTTGAGTGTGTGTGTGTAGGTTTTGGTAGGGAGGTGGGACGGTGGGGGAGGGATTTAAAAAAAATCTATCCCACATCTCCCCTGAACACCATCTCTCCCTCACTCCCCAAAAAAGTTGACAAAAGGGTTTTATTCTTCCCATGTAGCTGTCTGAGGAATTGACCATATCTGGGTGGGGTATGGAATGTGGGCATCCCTAGGTTCCTGGAAGCAGCTCTTATGCTACTCATAGAGATGGGACTGATTTTATTTTTTATAGCGCTTAATTCACCGTTATGGGAAATGCTTCCAATCACAAAAATTCAGCCCAGCTCGTTTTGAGGAAGAGGCAGGACATGTTATAGTTTTATACAACTCATTTCCATTAAACTGAATCAGAAGTCCTTTTTCTGGATGAATTAAAAATGTGGCCTGTGCCTGTGTAATGTCCACTCCTTTCTGCCAACTCCCTTCCCTCTGCTCCCTGCTGGTGTTGTGTATATGAAAGAGGAGTGTTTTTCTGTCATAGATGCCCTAGAGGAAATTTTGTGGATGTTGGAGAGCTTAAAGGCATTTCAATTGTTAGAAAACTGACACAGACTGTTACAGAGGAATCTTTGCCACTTTTCCCACCCAAAACCAGCCTGGGGCCTGACCTCTTCTGCTCTCAGCCCCTTTCTCTGCATATAGAAAGTCTAAATGCAGTATGTGTAGACTTTTAAAGTTTTAAAATTCAGCCTCAGGAAGAAAATCAGAAATACTGGCTGGTGAAATAAACAGTTTAGGCATCTTGTAAGCCTGCCTTTTTTGAAAAACAACAAAACAAAGTAAGTGTTGGTGAGGATGTGGAAAAATTGGAACCCTTGTGCACTGTTGATGGGAATCAAAAATGGTGCAGTCATTATGGAAAACAATATGACAATTCCTCAAAAAATGAAAAATACAATTACCATGTGATCCGGCAATTCAATTTCTGGATACACATCCAAAAAAATGAAAGTAAGATCTCAAAGAGATATTTGTATACCCATGTTTAGAGCAGCATTATTCACAACGGTCAAAAGGTGGCAGCTCCCCGAGTGTCCATTGACACATGAGTGGATGAATAAAAAGGTGGTATATACATAAAATGGAATATTATTCAGCCTTAAAAGGAAAGGAAATTCTGACATGGGCTACAACATGGATGAACCTTGAGGACACCATGCTGAGTGAAATAGGCTAGCTGTAAAAAGATAAATGCAATTCCACTCATATGAGGAACCTAGAGTAATCAAATTCATAAAGACAGAAAGTAAACAGGTGGTTTCCTGGAGCTGCGAGGAAAGGGGAACGGGGGTTTATTGTTTAATTGGTGCAGAGTTTCAGTTTTGCAGATGAAAAGCATTCTCAGGATTGATTGCACAACAATGCAAATGTACACAGCACTACTGATGTGTATAATTAAAAATGGTTATGATAAATTCTATGTGTATTTCACCACAATTTAAAAAAAAATACATGAAAATTCTTTGGAAAGTATAAGATATTACAGACAAGAGGCCTCAATTATTGAAAAAAAAGATGAAACACTGTCCTGAATTTCCCAAGGGGAACAAAATCTTGAGCATGTCACCTTTGAAAGCATCATCCTGATCCATGTGTACTAAACCAAGTCTAGTGTGATATAAAGTTCCATAGGCTGCATGTGGCATTATGTGCTACCCTTCAAAATTGATTTCAATCCAAGAAAGAGAACAAATCTCGATTCCCAAGTCTTTCCACAACTTGCTTGCTTTTCAAACATAAATCATACATATTAAATCTAACCATTGTCTATAAAAAGCCAACCACACATTTAAAATGTGTTACTGGTAATAGAGCAGCTTGAGGAGGAAGAGGATGAGGGAACTGAAGGCAAGGGGAGGGAGGTCTGTGGAGAGGGTGGGGTGGAACCTGCCAGGCTCTGGGAAGATCAAGGACATTGACAAAAAAGAACAGATTTATCATCACAGAAAAGATGAGGGTAAAAAAACAACAAACAAACAAAACAGGTTACAGGACAGGACATAAGGGCAGACCAACCGTTTAAGGAAAATAAGTCTCATTAGAGGGTTAGAAGCATTAAAAAACTTTTTTCACTTTGTCCTCTGAGGAGAATATTTCTGAAATTTCTGCTTATGGTTATATAAAATCGGGCTGAGGATTTTTTAAAACGTAAAGTTGGTAGCAGACTTTGGATATTTTCATCTATATTTGTTTTTCTGCCTTTAATAAAATAGTGTGTATGTTTCATTTCAGAAGCTATCAAAGACCACATTTTGATTGGTCCACACAATCAAACCAGAAGAATGTTCCAGTTTATTGAATTTGTCTCCTTATTTAAGAAAAAGAAAATTAAGCCAGGAGAAGTTAGCGCTCCATCCACCAGCTGGGTCTTTGATGAAGGGAAGTGAAATGAGGATTCTGCACAGGTGGGCGGTAGCTGGTGGAGTGAGCGCCCTGCAGGTGCAAGTCATGACAACAAATGGGGAGGGATGCTGTGAAGACATTGCCCCATTGTGTTAGGAGAATTCCCAGACACCCCATTCCACTCCTCCAGCTCTCTCCAGGATGGAAGAATGGGGAACTATGAGGCGTATGCACCATCCAGGAAGAATCCTAAGTCACATTTACCCTGAAAAGCATGCTTCTGTCCATGAATGTCTTCCACCCTGTGGCTGGGGCTTGGGGGCGGGTAGGGAACAGTGTGGCTGGTGATATTTATGCTTTTCTTCATTTACCAAATATCTTGTAAATGGAACTCTTTCTTTTTTATAAGTCAGTGTTAATGAGTGTAGACCTCAGAGATTTAAAATGAACTATCTGCAAATCTGTGACATTACACTAGAATAAATGTTTTATTACCCCCTCAAATCCAAGTCTCTCTTAAAAGATGTTGAACAGAAAGTACTTAAAGGAATATCTTACATTTTTCATCCATAGTTCAAGTTAAATGATAGGGTAATACTAACACATTAGCTGTCCTTTATACATATTAATCAATAATGCAGTTTTATTATCAATAATTGATTTAAGTCTCAGTAGTGGACAATTTTAAAACAGTCTAAATGTGAAAGTTCAGCATTCTAATCGTTCACAGACAAGCAAGTTAGTGTGAATATATGACACTATGTAAATGACAATATATACATCCAAGTTTAAGTTTACAGTCCAATATAAGGTTACAATTATGTCAAGTCTTAGAAGAATTTTTTTCATAGATACGGACTTCTAACCTATGTATATCACTCTTCTGTTACTATACTTGATAAAATACATTTTGCTAGCTAGAATAGACTTATACTTAGAAAGTTCCATTTACAGTTACACAATTTAATAAAGTTTGATTAAATGAACTGGCAAAATCTGTAATGTTACAAAGTAATAAAATGTAAAACTAAAACTATGGCACATCTGAAAATCAAGAATGACTTGTTTGGCCCACATTACAATTCCTGTATACTAGAATAATAATATATGTTATGTCATAATTTTTCATAAATGATTTTTCAAAATTCAGCAATAATTTTAAATAAATGTGTGCATATATATACGTTTTGCATATAGTTACACAGGTTTCCCAACTGAAATAACTAAGAGAAATAAAAACAGAGAAAAACCTGCCTCTGTGCTGGAAGGAGGGAAGGGTGACCTGTCAATAAGTGTTTGTTGAATGAGTGAATGAATCATGCAAAATTCTAATATCTTATTAAAATAGGAGATAACCTGCCATAGCTAGGACCCAGAAATAAAGAAAACAGAGTTACTTTCATTGTATCTGGGGATCATCCCTTAGCTATTTCTCTCAGTATTTTGAACCTATGTTAATAATGGATATCAAATTTTTCAAACACCAGCAGAGGACAAGGAAGAGCTAACATTCTGACCCCAGTGAAAGTGGACTCTGGTACTTTCATTTAGTCACAGGCTCGCTCAGGGAGTCTTGTTTCTTATTCCTCACTAATAGTCCCAGTCATACAAGCACTTGAGATTATTTTGGCTCCATCCTACTTCCCTGTAGCTACTATGGCCTCCCACTCTCTCATGGACATTCATCGTATTTTGCTCTTGCAACATTCCCTCTCTTGGCCACACTCCAATGCAAATGATTTACTGTAATATGTCTCCACCTTCACACCTTGTGAGAATGAAATGAAAAATCCTACAATTAATTCCTAAGGAAAACAGTACCTTCTAATGCCACCAAAGGTATTGGAAGCAATTATTATTAATTAATAATATAATTATTATTAATTGCAATTGTCGTTGCAAACAGCTTCCAAGAGGGTGGTAGACAGCCAAGACTTTTTATTCAAATAGCTGTTTTCATTCATAAAGCAATCTACTAAATGATAATGTCATGCTTTTTGGCAACATCCGTATTTATGGGTTCTCCTTTTAAGAATTTTCTCTTACATTTGGCATGCTCAGTACAGGACAATACTTCTTAGGAAGTTTGATGGATATTTTTCTTTTGTACTTTTTTAATCAACAGAAACTACACTGATTTTGATTTGCTTAAACAAAAATTTTTTTTCATATTAACAGTCATTTTACCATAGTGTTAGAAGACACCATGGTGGAGGTACTTGCAGTGAGATAACATCCTGCATATTAATCCTTGTGTTTTTCTCTCCTCCACTTCCTGACTCTTCCCTTCATCAGCTGGAGGCAATCACGTTGCCTGGGAGAGAATTAAGATTGTTAAAGCAGGAATTTAAGGAGAAAGGAACTATTTTAATATTATTTTTGAAGTAGAAACTAGGGTTTTAAGATTCAAAAAGAGAAGCTCCAAGGAGACCAGAGCAGAGAGTTTATAACCTCTTCAAAAAGAAAGAGTCAGCCAAGAGTCAGCTCCACCCCTTGGAAACATCAAGAAGCCCAGCCAACACCTACAGACCATCCCTTGCCATTCCTGTGAGCTCATCATCATGCCCCTGGCAGAAAAGCTACAAGTTTCTTCTTGTGACTTTCCTATGAATGCCTTCCTCGCGTTGTTGCCTATACATGGACCGTTGCTCATTCAACAAAAGCCAACTTCTCACCATTCCTTCGCCTTCTCTCCTGCCCTGAGACTTTGATGAGCTCCCATCTGAATTGCCATGGATATGTACCCACTTCTGGAGGCACTCAAAAGCAAGTCCCCTGGATCTGTTAAAAAACAATGTGGCTGCCTATAAAATATAAAAGTCAAAACAACAGTAGCTTAAGGAAGATAGAAGTTTATTTCTCTATGATGTAATTGATATCTAAAGATGAGCAGTCTAGACTTGGAATAGCAGCACTGTATTCATAATGACCTCAGGCTGCTTCTGTATCCCTGCTACATTATCCTAATGCTGGCTTCCATTTTCAGGATCACCTCTTGTCCTAAGATGGTGGGACAAGCTGTCACATTTATATGCTCCAGCTATCACATTTGCTTTCCTGACAGGAGAAAGGGTGAATGCCCACATCTCCCAGCTGAGTCAACAACTTTAAACAAACTTTCTGAAAGTCCCACACAACATTTCTGATTAAATCTCACTGGCTAGGACTTGCCTTCATAGCCACACATAACTGAATAAAAGTCTGAGAAATGTAGCATTTTATGTGGATGCATCCCCTACACCTTCCCCACTGACCCCTGCCAAAAAATAAAAATAAAATAAAATAAAGTGAAAGAGGAGAATGCTTATTGGAAATTAACTCACCCTACCATATGCCCCTTTCCTAAAAAAAAAAAAAAAAAAAAAAAAACAAAAACAGAGCTGGGTCTTTGAAGAGAGTTGATGTGGAATTAATTCACAGGTACATATCTGGGGGAGGACTGGGTAGTGGGGAAAAATAATCCTTGTTTCATGAGAAATATATAGATAAATAACCAAGTAATTAAGGTTCCATTAAGATTTTTAAATGGCAATTAACAAAGCCAAATATTTCAAGTGTGTTATATATAATACAATTATCTATGTTACATATAAAGATGAAGATGATTATATAAAATATAAATTATATTAAAAATAAACATACAGTAAATTATGCATAATATATAGATATGCCATCCAAGGCATTTATGTTATTTTCTCCTTGAATGATCAACATGACATTCACCAGAAACTGGATATGTCTAGAGACATCTTGATTTGCACCTAAAACATGAAGAGCCGCTTTACCAAAGGCCTTGGGAGAGACAGGTGTCCTAGAGTCTAGAACTAATTCAGCAGCTCAGGATAGAAAGGAGAGCAAAGAACCTGTGACACCATAAAAAACTTCAGCAGCAGTAACCAACCATGATGGCAATTAACATAACCAGCAAAATAATAGCTAATATTCGTAGAGTGTTTACTATTTGGTAGGCCCTGCAATGACTTTACTCTTTAATAGGCACAACAACTCGATGAGACTAGAACTATTATCACTCGTTTTCACCAGTGAGAAAACTGAGGAACAGAAAAATGCAGTCACTGAAGTCACTTGTAGACAAGCGCATTGCACAATTAATCAGCGTCAGAGCCAAGAATAAAACCAGGGTTTTATTCTGCTCTGAACTATACCTTCTCCTCTTCCAGAAGTGCAGACATCTGATCAGAAGAAAAGATCACATGATATCACAGAATCATCAGGATGGTGCTGAAGATGAACAAACTGAAATGTCTGAAAGTTTTTAAGAAATTCATAGGCTGTCTTTTAAGTATGATGTTAGAGACGCCAACCAAATATTGCTCTTCTCAGGGGTGGGTCATTTCAATTTCATTTTCAGAAATTTCCAGTTGATACTTATCACCACAAATGAAAGCTATAAAGAAAGACTACTTGAAATGCATGTCAGTCCTTTTCTTTAATAAATTTGGTTTATGGTGAAGCCACAAGACAAAATATGTTTATCCCCAGGAGGTATAAACAACTCAGTGCAGGTTATAGGAATCTCAGTTTTGTATCCAAACAGGTGAAACATTTTTACCACTGACCTTCAGACCATCCTCACTTATCTGAATTTCTGAATTTCAGACAGAAATTAAGCAAGGATGTAATGCATACTCTATTTACTTATATTATTTATATATTTCAGAGCTAAATTTTTTAGAAATGCAAACACTATCTTTGTTTGTGAGACAGGGTCTCACTCTGTTGTTGACTGCACTGGAGTGCAGTGGTTCCATCAGGGCTCACTGAAGCCTCGACCTCCCAGGCTCCAGTGATCCTCCCACCTCAGCCTCTCAAGTAGCTGGGACTACAGGCTTGTGCTAACATGCTTAGCTAATTTTTTAAAAAATAAATTGTAGAGACTGGGTCTCACTATGTTGCCCAGTCTGGTCTTGAACTCCTGGGGCCAAGCAATCCTCCTGCCTTGGTCTCCCAAATTGTGGGGATTACAGGCGCAAGCCATCATGCCCAGCTGACACTATCTTTTAACCATAAGCTACTTAAAAAAAAGAGCAGTAGAGGGTACAGTTTGTTCAAAGAAGAAAATTTTACTTTTTGAAAAATTGAACAGTACAAATGCTGTGAGATTGTAACCCGCACTTTCTAAATTCAGCTTAATCACATCATAGTATCTTCCAAATCTATGAGTTTGCTGTTAAATATTAATTACATTTTAAATTCATAAATGTACAAATTAACCTTGTTAAAATTACTTCTGAAATCCCATTGTTTAATAATTCATTCAATAATATGCTTTTGTTACAAAAGTTTAAAAATTCAAATCAGATCACTGAAGGTGATTCTTCCAATTTCCTAATTATTAAAATTTCTGACTTCAGTTATCTAACAAAACAATACCAGCCAACACATTGGTGATAAAATAGACCTGTTATTTTGCAGCTTACATTCTATTGGGTGAAACAAACAATAAAAAATAATAATCGAGAAAAATAGAGCAGAAATAGGCGATAGCTAGGGTGTACTATGTGATTTAGATAGGAGGGTCACAATTTTAAATCAAGCGGAAAGCACACCCATTCCCCCCATTCTAAGGCAGAGTAGTCCAATAAACTTCAGTTTTTACAAAATTAAACTATAATTTATGACTCTTAGGTATCAATATTTCTATTTGATATGTTAATTAGCTAACAAATTATTCTCAAGGAAAGAAAGACAGAAATTCTCCATGAGAATTCTGATTTTCAGCTTTGTAAATTCTCCTAAAGAAGTTTCAGGAGAAACTTCCTCTGACCAAGTTAAGAAAGAAGAGCCGTATTTAATCAAAGTATCTATCTACTGCTGTGTTAATAAGTTTCTTAACCAAGAATAAATTTCAAATTACATGGAGAATCGCTGGAACCCAGGAAGCAGAGGGTACAGTGAGTCACGATTGTGCCACTGCATTCCAGCCTGGGCAACAGAGCAAGACTCTGTCTCAAAAAAAAAAAAAAAAAAAAAAAAATATATATATATATATATATATATACACACACACACACATATGCTTTTTTCTATGTATAGAAACCCTTCTTTGGCATCTATGAAGATGCTCATATTTTCTACCTTATCTAAATCAATATAGCTAATTATCAATATAGCTAATTAACTTAATTAGCTATATTAATAGTAAACCATCCTTGCATTCTTAGAATAATCTCCACTTGGGTATGTGGCTTGATTCTTTTATTAAACTTTCCTAATAATATTTGCATCCATAAGTGAGATGAAATCACAATTTATTTGTTCTTTATTGGATTTAGGTGTCTTTGTTATAGTAACATTTAAAAACACACAAAAGATTTCCTTGTTTATCAAGGTCCTAGGAAAAATTTCAAGTGCATTTAAATTATGTTAGGATTCAATTCTGAAGTTCTTCAGGTTTAGTGATGTATGTGTTAGTGGTGGTAGAGGTGGCTGTCTTTGACAACTTCATTTTTTTATGGCAATTAATTTGTTTATGTTTTCTGTATCCTTTTGAAATAGCCATAGGCTATTTTTTTCTTTAATCATTTTGTTTGGCAAATGGCATGGAATTGGACAGAGCTCTTTTAGTTATTACTTCCCTCCTCCCTTTGTTTCTATTATTTATATTTCTGTTTAATTGGCTTATCTAGTTTTATCTATTTTTGTACCAAAAAAATCAGTATTTATTATTTTTCCTTATTAACTTACCAATTCCTTTTTTCAAAAGAAAAATGTTTAACACATTTTCATTATTTTTTTTTTTTGCAATTGGTTGAAAAAATGTAAAGTGAGGAAATAGAAATAAGTTTATCAAAAACTCTAAGAGTTTGGCTGTAAGAGTAGAGAAATGGGTGTATTCCTAGAGGGAAACAATAGGTTTAGTGTTTTTTTTTTCTAAGAAGCAGTATTGCAACCTATTTGTTGATGACACTCATTTAGGGCAGAGGGAAGAAATTCATGGTACAGGAGAGAAAGAGTTTAATCATGGGAGCAAGGTCCTTGAGTGGGCAAGAGTGTATGGCAACAACTGCACAGAGGGAATTGTTGTGAGGCAGATTGCTCATCCTCTGTAACAGCAGGCAGAAGGCATTAACTATGGAAATGTGTATTTGGTCATTATTGATGGCCCACTTGAGATATGTGGTTATAGACCAAGAATGAGTCCAGTCAGTGGAGCTGTTTTTCTTTGGTAACATTTTATAGCTTGACTACACTCAAGCTGTACGGAATGGGCAGTGGAAAAGATTTGAGCTTAACCCTGGTTGGATGTCTGTCAGGTAAGTAAAAGGGCACATGCATGAAATTCTGCATCTTTCATAGGGTTCACAAACACATTATGGTATATGAATTAATGCAACAGAGGATTCAAGAACACTGTAATACAGGGCAGCATGGAGCAGGGAAAGAGATTTTTTTTTAATGCTTTTCAGAATTTGATACGTATACCTAACTTGAACACAATAGTTGAAGCTTTGCCAGACAGGTCGGTAGGGGCTTTCTCATCTCCTTGTACTAGTAATTTCTTCTTGGCCTTTAGAGATGGAACAGCATCCACCTCTGATTTTTCTTGTTAGAAGGCATATCAGAATCTCTCAGGAATGCAAGTGTAGTGTTCTTTTTTCTTTATTTAAGTTTACGAAATACATGCTTATAGAAAATTAAAACATTATAGAAATATGTAAAGCCACCCATGAAAGTTCTTCCATAATTCTGCTTCCTAACAAAGCCACTGTTAGTAATGTGGTGTTACTTATATTTTAGAGCATCAAGTTGTCCACAAAAATGCTTGCACAACTTTTTTTTTTACCCAAGTTTAGAAATCTTGCCCTAATAATCCAGACATTCCTCACTCTCTTAACGAATACTTAGAAACAAATTGCATAAAGGTACCATCTATTAAACCAGTCCCTTACTGACAGGGCATTTGGGCTAGTTTTAAGTATTAAAGAACAAAGGTGCAATGACTTTGCTTGTGTACACTTGTCAGATCATTCCCATTAGGCAGTTTCCTAGGAATGAACTTAGTAGGCCAAAAGGTTCAAAGTTTCAATAAATCCCAGAAAACTACATTCCTAAAGGCTGTGACAATTATACTCCCACCTATGGCATACAAGATGGGTAATGTAATTGGAAGTGCTTGTTCAAAATCATGGTGCAATTTTTTAATTTGGAAAATTTAAAAAATTGACTGTTCTTATAACTGTGTTTTCTAATTATAGAAGGTGAAGTCTGACAAATCTTGATTAATGGGGAATCAGGATCCCAGGGCAGGATTTATAAAACTTGTATTTACCAAAAAGAGGCATCAGTATTAGAAACTTTAAAACTTCTCTTTAAAATCTCCGCAAGATTGCAGCCCTTGCTACAGCTTTAAATAGCTGCACTGGTATCTCCAGTTATTTTCCCCAAGTTTCAATACCAGTATTGGTATCCTACTAGTTGAGGAATAAAATCCATACTTATATGAGCTTTCCCCAGAACAAGCCAGCTTTAGTCCCATTATTCGACAGTAGCAGAACATTCTTTGTCCCAGAACACACCGCACACTTTCTTGTGCCTGGTTTCATCACTTTATGCCTCATCTCTTTTCCTTCTTTGTCTTCCTTCACTTCAAGGTAATCTCCAATGCCACTTACTCTATGAAGTCTTCCACAATCCTTCCTGAGAAAAATAAATGGTCTTATCCCTTCTGTTCCCCCAGCATTTCACCTGCACCTCTGTTACAGAATTTCTATACTAAGCTACCAAACTGGAAGTCTTAGAGGATAGACACATCTTACTTGTCTATTTCCTGAACAGTATCTAGTGCAGAACTTTGTAGAACATACACTCAAAAACTGTTTTTGGAATAAACATACATAAATTAAGACTTCAAATCTTTTAATCTCAAATTATTAGTCACAGATGTTATTTTTTAAAGGACTAAAAAAAAACTACTGCTCCTTCAAATGTCCTAATTATCGGTTTCATACATTTTTTTTAAAAAAGGGGGTTTTCTAATAAGACTGTCAAAATATTACATCTAGAATAGTTATGTTCAATAAACCTGCATTTACTTGATATCTGCATCTTCCTAGTATCACAAATTGTTTTAGAAATAAAAACACAGGGGTAGGGGACAGGGGACAGTTTATTGTAAAATATGAAGCAGCAATGATTGAAGCAAGTGAATTTCTCCTTTATATTCCCAGCCAGAGCACAAAATGACTGGATATCCTCATGAACGCCAAGCTTTTTTTTTTTTAATTAAAAAGAAAAAAAAAGAGAGAGAAAAAATTCCACATTCATTAAAATCTCTTTCTCTTGATAATTTCTGGTTTCCAGCTGACTGGATGAGTTTCTTCTGTCTAAAAATAGAAAAGTGAGTTAAAATAAAGTATTATTAGTTTGCTTCATGTCTAATAGGCTTCCTTTCTAACAAAAATAAGGTATCTAACATTATTCATTGGCTTTATACACTTAGTTCTTTGACAGTTTTAGGAAGAGTTGATAAACTTCTGGCATTATCCAAGTCTAATAACAGATGGATGGATTCATTATGTTTAGTTTGTAGTTTTCCATCTAAAATAACATTTCTACTTGGATATTCTACTAACACCAAAGCTTATGATTCTCGAATTAATTTACATAGCAATCTATTTATTTGCTGTTATTCTTGGTGCAACATTTCCCAGCAACTATAACAAAGGAAGTTGGGATAAAATTAAAGCCATCCATGGATTCACTGGCATCAGTGAAACAATATAGAAATATATAAATGGACACTATTCAAGAAGACAGATATCTTAAATACTATAAAGATTATTTTTCCTTCTGATAATTAAATGAGAATATGCTGCCAAATTGGTATAGCTGTTTTACTTAACGAATGTGAAACACAGAACTTACGGCTGTGTCATCCTCTCTGTATACTTTAATGGTTTTATCAGCTTCAGCTGTTAGTAATCGACTTTCAGACTGATCAAAAGCACAAGCAAATATTCCTGATTCACTGTCCAAAGACCCAGGTTGCACAGCTGCGTGAACTCTCTGAAAATTGTAGCCAGTTCTCCAGTCCCAAAGATGCATGGTGCCATTGTCAGCTTAAAGGGAAAAATCTAGTTACACCTGGTATCCCCTCAGCAGTACAGCTTGACAAACATTTATGAAGCATCATTAGCCCAAGCATGGGAATACTACGGTTATAAAAATACATAAGACACAGGCACTCCACCTTCTCTTAATATTGGTTTGTCTACTTTCATTTGGGCTGGGTTCAGAACTTATAGATCTTAAAAAGCACCTGAAAATCTGACATCCAATTCCAGAATAATAAACAAAATTTTAAGCAATTCCCAGCATAAATCCCTGAGATTCATTAGATGGGAACTCAAAGAGGACTAAGCTATGAAATATACTACATGTAATATGAATATGCATGAACACACATAATAACATGCAAATATGCCCTAACCAGGCAAGTGCTGCTATAATACTTAAGTGTGACAGCTTAGAAGCATTACAAATGTTTATTCATCATTAAAAGAAAAAATAACAGACTAAACATATTTATTATAAAAATCTTATTTTACCTCCAGATACAAGCACTCCATCAGAATTTACCGTCAATGTGTTAATAATAGCATTATGACCGGAAAGATTTTGAATGAAACTTCCATCAGGGAATTTCCACTGCTTTATGTTATCTGGAGAACCAGATGCAAATGTGTAACTGAAATAATATTAAAAAGAATTAACGACAAAGTAAACCAAGTTAAATAAAGTGGTGGGTTTTAAAAAGTTTATTTCAGTTATATTTTGCAGTGTGTACTCAATGATTTATATATTCAGCAAAATAGTCGTATCAAAATGTAAAAATATTAAGACATTTGTTCAAGGTTAAATCAGACCTTCACATTTTTAACAGTATATTTTAAGTCCTAGATTAATGTTTTGTTCTCCTTTCATTTCCTTAATGCTCTGCACTAAGCCAGAGCAATAAATGTGCAGAAGCCCTATTTCACATGAAGGGCAATGTGTTATGCAACTCTTTTGGAGGGAGGGAGAGCAAGACAGGACAGGAAGAAAGAGAGAAAAGGAATAGAGGGCAAGAGGAAGAGAGAGAACAGGAGGGAGGAGAGGCGAAATGGGAGTGAGAAAGATAAGCAAAGGAAGGAAGAAGAGAGGGGGAAAAGGGTATGGAGAGTAGAAGACAGAGAAGAGGAAAGGAAGGAGAGGAAGAATCCAGAAAAGTGTCAGAGTGATCTGATACACCAAACAATAGTTGTGATATTATGCTCCACCTTTTTGGATACTCTGACTGTAATGTTCACGGTTCTTATTATTTCTGTTTCTACATATATTAACTTCCTCCTTAAGAATTAAACTATTCAATGAATGTCTCAGTGTCCAAAATCATTTATGTCCAAAACATTAAGCCTAGCCACTAATATCTTTTATTTTGACATGCAGCATTTAATCATGATTTACACTGTCTCATTTGACATTATTTATTTGTTATCAAGTAGAAGGCTTTCCTCATGTTTTATAGGGCATGAAGCAAAATAGTGCATGAGGAAAATAAAAGAAACACACGTTCCTATGCGGCACAGGCCTAGAAATGACAGCAGCTAAATGACTGCCAAAAGCAGTGCTAACACCACTAGCATTTCAGCATTATCTTAAGAACTGAAGAAAAACAAGAAGCTAATTAGGAAAATACACTTACTGTCTTGGATGTAAAACCACAGCCCTAACTGATTTTTTGTGATTTGTTAATGTCACTCTTGTTTTTCCAGCCACCAGATCCCATAATCGAATTGTAGTATCATGGCTTCCTGTAATGGAAACACATATATCCCTCAAAACATAGACCAGGAAAAATAATGCAAAAGTTAAATAAAATACAAAGCATTCTTCCAAAACACATATGTTCTAAATGAAAGTCATATCACACGCAAATTAGTCTTGGCTAATTTCTTCATAGTTCCAAATTTTTAGGTTGATTTTAATTCTTTAAAAAAATGCAATACAACAATTGATTCACTGTCAATTGAACAGCTAAAACAAATGCAAATAACAAATAAATATATAATTGTATACCCTAGTGAAAAGGAAAAAACTTCAATGATTTTTTTAAGTTAATAAAATACATCAGGCAAAGGAATTATTTTCTAGTATTAAAGATCCATTGTTACTAACTTTATTTAGAGCAAAGTAAGATTCAAATCAGTTCTAAAGATTACTAGTCTCAAGATGTTTTGTCTTCTAACTTCAATTTCTTAGAAAAATAATTTTGACACTATAAAATAATAATTGTTCATAACACAGTATTCTAGTCAGACATTACAGGATACTATGTATGGCATACTCTATGATATGTAAAAAGCATGAGGTAAAAACAGTGGAATGAAATTTCATTTGAATACATTTCAATTGTCCATGATTAAAATATGACACAGAAACACTGTAAACACAATACAGAGCAAGAGTCATCATGAATATTAAAAGTATATGTATAATAACATGGATTCTGACATGAATATTCTGTAAACTTGAAAAGTATCGATCATACCTGTAATAATTTGTGGTTCTGCAGCCTGACATCTCACTGTAGCAACTGCATTTGTATGTCCAGATAATGTGTGTACACTGGCTTTAGTTCTCACATCCCAAATCTATAAAAACACAATAGACATATTAGGAAAGAGAATAGGTATTCATTATCTCAAGAAGATAACTGGATCAATTCAAGGCTGAAAATTTACTACATAACTAGTGCCTGAATATAATAAAGAAAATGCTTAAGTGAAAGATAATGATTTACAAACTGGAGGACGAATATAAATAGGAGACAACTTGCAAGAATTCTAAAAAGCTAAAAGATCAGGGTACTGAAAATCTAAGAATGAGTATGATGGGACTACTTTTTAAGACTACTGAATGAAAGAACTAATGGACAATAGTTGTTACAGAATGGAACGTGAGAATATCACATTTCAGGGGCAGGGCACTAATAACACTAACATGGTGAGGCCATACAACTGAAGACTAAGGTGGAAAAAAATGCAAGTTAAGAAACTTAGGGACTAGGATATTGATGACTCAAGACAGCTATCTTTAATTCTCTATCAATCAATTGAAGACACTGAAACCGAAAGTGCACCCTACAAGATGCAATATATTTACAGATAAATACACAACTCTATCCCATTTACCCGTGCAGTTGAATCTCGACTACAGGTTACCAACACATCGATTGTCGGGTGCAAATCCAAACCATACACTGCACTTAAATGTCCATGATAATGCCGTATAACCTAAAGACAAAGCAGGAAAGTTAAAACTTCTAGAATTAGAAAGATAAATAGTAGTTCACAATGTTTTAAATCCTTAACTCCAAACTTACCTTATTGTATTCGAGATCCCAGCATTTCACTTGTTTGTCTTCTCCACAAGAGAACAGATATGGGCTCCTTGTGCTTACTATCACGCCCCGCACAGTACTAATATGCCCAGTCAATGACAGTTTTAATTTGCCACTAGCCAAGTCCCAGATCTGCAATCAAAGAATATTTATTTTTTTCTTTCACTGGTTACTGCAAAACAAAATTTTAGAAACCTGATTATTAAAACTGAGCTTTCAAAGACAAAAGGAAAAAGATAACAAATACGTAAAAATAAAAAATTTTGCAAAATGACTCCCCTCCAAATAAAAGCAAGAAAAAAACTGGCATGCTCAAACTGGAAAAATATTTGCAATTAGATGACAAAAGGTTAACCTTCTTGTTATATAAATGATATCTTTGATAATAACAGTAAGAAAAGTATGGTATTAAATTAACTGAGGCTGGCAACAACTTAAAGAAATCCTAAAAGCAGCAAATACAGATATGAAAAAGTTCACACTCATTAGAAATTTCATACAAAGTTTTTTAAAAAGATTAAGTATCCATTTTTGCTTACCATATTAGATATTTGTAAAGGAATGTACAACCAATGTGCTGAAAAGGATCCTCTCATACACTGCAAGTATCGATTCACCCATTTGGAAAGTAATTTGTACTTTGGGTATCAGCTTCAAAAATATTTGACCCATTTATTCCATTTATGGAACTCTACCATAACAAAATAATTTAAAATACAGAAAAAGTCTTATATACAAAACTTAACAGCATTACTTGTAATGGTGAAAATCAGACTAAAAACTCTACTGTCCAGTAATAGGAAAACAGATTACAGACTATCTAAATGATATAATATTATGCAACCACTTTAAAAGATGGTAAATTTTTCACAGGAATATGCCTTTGATACAACGTTAAGTGAAAAAAGCAAGATACAAAATTACATACTAAGAATGATTTTTTAAAAGATACACACACAGGAAAAGAGCTTAGAAGTGAAGGTATTGATACTTACAGAAATAAATACTAAAACGAAACTTATCCAAATATCTAACAATGGTAGGATTATATACAGGTCTATGTACTTTCCTAATTCTCTATATTTTCCACATTTTCTATGAATGAGCATGCTCTTAATTTTGTAACCAGTTGGAGAGAACAATGTAAGTATAAAGGAATTAGTGGTAGGTATTCAGTAGGTAAAGAAAAAGTGGTTTAAATAGCACTTTTCAAACAGATATTTATTTAGAACACTTATTAGTATAAATGATAAATTTTACTCCTTATTCAGGTCTAAAATAACAGAGGAACTGCAATAGCAATTCCTGCCACAGGAAATAATAACTGATTAAACTTACATGACAAACACAAAGTCATGTTTATTTTTTCTTCCTTCATTATTACCTTTATAGTTCTGTCAGCAGATCCAGTAACAAACCACTGATTTCCAGGTTCCACAGCAATACATCGAACCCAGCCAAGATGCCCACTGATAACCTGTATAAAACAAAGTAGAATGGGCAGGCCAACGTAGAAGTTAAAATGTATTTAAGTTTAACTGCAGCCCGAGTTTGAATTGCCCTCCCATCTTCAAATCATAAAAGATAATGACTATTACATTTTACAATAATATGAAATTATCTTCAGTGAGTTAATAGTTAACACAAATTGTGGCTCATCTATATAATGTAAACTACTCAGTAATAAAAAGGAATACATTATTAATACTTGCAACAACTTCAATGACTCACAAAGTATTAAGCTGTGTGAAGGAAGCCAGTCTCAAAAAGTACATATTGTATGATTCCATTTATATGACATAGTCAAAAAGACACAGCTAAACCAACCTAAGTGTCCATCATGAGGTGAATGGATAAATAAAATGTGGTACATACACACAATGGAATACTATTCAGCCATAAAAAAGAATGAAATTCTGTTATTTGCAACAACATGGATGGAACTGGAAGATACTATGTTAAGTGAAATAAGCCAGGCACAGAAAAACAAATATTGCGTGCTCTCTCTCATATACGGGAGCTAAAAAATAAATGATCTTCAGAGTTGAATGATGGCTACCAGAGGTTGGGAAGAATAGTGGGGAGGCAGAAGATAAAGAAGAGGTGGATCACGGGTACAAAAATAGATAAAGGGAGTAAGATTTAGTGTTTGGTAGCACTAGTTTGGTTAGCTAGTTTGGTAGCACTAGTTTGGCTAGTTAGCTTGGTAGCACAATAGAGTGACTACAGTTAAGAGTAATTTATTGTATATTTCAAAATAACTAGAAGAGTAAAATTGGAATGTTCCTAATACAAAGAAATAATATCCCAATTACCGTGATTTGATCATTACACACTGTATGTTTTTCTTTGTTTTTTGTTTTGAGATAGGGTGTCACTCTGTCGCCCAGGCTGGAGTGCAGTGGCGTGATCTTGGCTCACTGCAACCTCCGCCTCCTGAGCCCAAGTGATCCTCCCACTTCAGCCTCTGGAGTAGCTGGGACTACAGGTGTGCTCCACTACACATAGCCAATTTTTGTATTTTTTTGTAGAGGCGGGGTTTTGTTGTGTTGCCCAGGCTGGTACTGAACTCCTAGGCTCAAGAGATGCGCTTGCCTAGGCCTCCCAAAGCACTGGGATTATAGGCATGAGCCACCATGCCTGGCCTACACACTGTATGCTTGTATCAAATTTGATATGTAGCCCATAAATATGCACATCTATTATGTTAGCCATAAAAATTAAAAATAAATTAGAACTGAAATTATTGAAAAAAAATAAGACAACTATAGTGATAGAAAACAGATCAGTGATTGTCAGAGGTGAAGGAAAGTGTAACTACAAACGAATAGCACAAGGGTGTTTTTTGAGGTGGTGTAACATCTATATCCTAATTGTGGTAGTGGTTACCCAAATCAATACATCTATTACAATTCATTAGAGCTGTATGTCAAACAAAAAGGCTCTTACTGTACAATCATTTGAAAAATGAAATTTTTAAGATACATATTAAATTATGTGTAGCTGTACATTTCCTACTATGTACATTTTCTTTTTTAAAATTTTCTGTTTTTAATTTTTGTGGGTACACAGTAGAAATGTATTTATGGAGTACATGAGATATTTTGGTATAGGCAAGCAATGCAAAATAAACAGTATGGAACACTTCACGAATCTGTGTTATCCTTGTGGAAGGGCCATGCTCATCTTCTCCGTACCATTCCAATTTTAGTGTATGTGCTGCTGAAGTTAGCATGCATGTCCATTTTCTTTTAGATGATACACTCTGAATCATTTTCATTTATTGTAGTTGAAAGAGTAACTGGTAGGCCCAAATAAATTTCTTTATATGGTGTTTTTCCCCTTCACCTTCAAACTAAATACTTTGAACACTTTTTCTACATTTATTTAGTCTGCCATCCATATTTAGTAGCTTTATCTTGACATTTCATACTATTTTATATAAAAGTATAACTTTTGCTTAAGGAAGTCACCTTCCCAAGAGATCTTTTAAGATACTCCCTACGACTCTTCTCAATCCACCTCAGATCGCTCTACCAGCTTTTCATATTCACTCTTTTTCCTCCTTATTCTATTCTTCAGTGCTTGTCAACTACAAAGCAATCATGGTTCACATAATAAAATAAATGCAGAGTCACTCACCCTGTAGAGTTTCCACGGTGGGTGCCACTGGGGTTTTGGCATTGTAGGGGCTTTTTTAGCCATCAGTGCAGAGTTCTTGGTATTGCCAGTCTCCATGACAATCTAGACATAGAAGAGACATTATTATTATTAAAGACATCATACCTAAGGCTTCATGATATCAATTCAGAAATGGAAATGGAAAGAGGGAACTTACAAAAGAATTTTTCCATAAATGAAGAAATACAATTTTCTGTATGTTAACTTAAAAAAGCAATTATAAAATCACAGACAGGCAGAGCATTAGACTTAAGAGCACACATCACTGTGTACGGGTTCAAAACCCAGCTTGGCCAATTACTAGCTGTTTGACATTAGGTAACAATCATGTAACCTCTATGTGGCTCACCTGTAAAATGGGAAGAATAGTGCCTATTTCATAGGGTTACTACAAAGATTTAATAAGTAGTAAATGCTCCATGTAAGCTCCCAATATTAAAGTCATTTTAAGTGTATTAGTGCCACTGTCTTTCATTGTCATATTTTAACATTATTGGTTTAATATAGCAAAGACTGACAGTTCCTTCTATTTATCTTCTAATACAATATTTAAATACTATTTTAACAGGTATACTGCCTGATATACCATCTGTTGTTAGCAGTCATCTAGTCATCCAAAACATAAATAAGCCCATAAAGTTCCTGCCCTCAAGAAGCTTAAATTATACCCTCATAAGGAGGGTAGAGAGCCTGGACAGAAGACGTGCTCTGAATGGAATAAAGGAGGAAAGGAGATGTGGCAGTTACACATTCATTCACTTCATAAAGTCAAATCAATTGCATAATGAGCTGAGAAGCAAAACCAGCACTTATTTCAAGTGGCAGCATATTTTATTATGCTGCAGATAAATCAATAAAATAACTATAGAAAATTCAACAACTATTTCTACCATACTAATACCAGTTGCCATTTACTTACAAACAGATAAACTTATTTCTAAATGCTCATTTATAAGACTAGTTGTATAGCCCATGAATAGTACAACACTAACAGCACTCAAGATAACTGTACACACCAACTTAAAATTTAATAAAAAAAAAAAGACTTTCATATTCAATACATACTAACACAAGTTTCAGAAAAACTCTCCTTGCATTTTTAATAGTGGGCAATAAATACCAACATCACATTATCTTTATCAAAATATATATTACACACAATGTACAAGTAGACAAATAACAGAATTAAATTCCAAAAAATACGTTAATTTACTACCAACTTGAGTTTTAGGGCTATGAAATATGAATGACTAGCTCAGGCTGCTATTTATCTTAATAATTCCAAAGAAGAGGGAAATATGGCAACATGTTCCAAAAGTTAGAAACCTGCTATTTGATGCAGAAAAACTTACTGAATTCATCGCTGTAGGCTGTGGACGGTCAGAAGCCCCAGGATGTCGGTATTCACTTCCACTAGGGGCAGTACGATTTGCATCAGCCCTGGGGCAAAAGAAATAATATTTTCAAAGTAATTAATGCCTCCAGTCATGTATTCTGCAAAACTAACCCTTTATTTTAAATTGTTATAAAGTCCTGATAAAGGAAAATGTCATATAATAGTTATAAAGAAATTTTAAAAAGAAAAAATGTGAACAGTGAAATATGCTTTTAAGATCTTTGTAATTATAATATTTCATACTTGGTCTGCAAAGGTAATGCCACCGCTAAGGACTGTGCAGCTGATTCACTTGGCATTCTCTGGATCTTAGTATCTGCTGTCAAAGCAACCCCTATTAAAATGAAAAATCAACTTCTTTTAGTAGCTGTGTATTATTCATTTACATGCACTTAAAATAAAATGATGAAGGAAAACATACACCAAATGTTTATTATCTCCAGGCAGTGATATTATACAAATTTGATTAAGTTTTGCTCATCTTTGTTTTTAATTTCTACAATAAATACTGCTTAATAACACGTAACTCAAATTTGATTTGATCACAGCCCACATGGTATTAAAGCAGCCCAGAATAGTAAAGTTAATTTCCATTATATTTGGGTATTAGTTTCAAGTCAGTATTAAGCAGTTCCTCAAATACTAACAGAATGTTTCCAAGAGTGGATGTAACTTACTAAAACTAGAAACACCCAATTTCCCTGTACTTTCTTTACATACTAAGCCTTTTGTCCTCTACCCTGTTACACTGGCCACTCCATCTGTGGACCAATGCCTTAATACAGACAGAGGACATGTTTCTCAGATACTGCTTCTAACATTTCCATCATTTTTACAAGCTTAGTGATATTTACATGTCTGCCTAAACCACCAGATAATAAATAACTAGGCCTGCAACAGTTTTACTGTCTTTGAATTCCTAGCACATTGCCTGAAAAATTATACGTACTTAAGAATGTTTGCTGAATGAAGGCATATGAGTATTCATTATTACCTACAAAGCTATGCATGGATGCTTGGCTACTGAGCTTATCTTGCATTTTATAGGCAACAAGAATCTCATTATTGGCTCGTTAGTGAAAATATATGTGACATTTTTAAGACATTTTCAATATATAACAGCTCACTAACCAGGTCCTGGTGGGTATGGATGTGTACCTGCCACAAAGTATTCAACTTCTTGTCCTAAAAAAACACAAAAAAAATCAACAGTAGTGAATTTACCTTATACAAAAGTTATCATCTCTTTAAATGTATCAAGTAATATTAAGTTTTCAACTGGATCTATCAAATTTTCTCAACTAAAGTCAAGCCTCAGAAATAAGGGAAGTTGATCACTTTTGCTTTGATCTCTGTAAACCATGTCCTTGACCATTTGCTATATAGCAATGGTATACAAAGAAGCCCTCCTATCAAGTGACAATCCACTCTGGTATTTCTTCCAAGCAAATGGTTTCCTGTGGAATCTTGAATTCTCTTTACTTATTAAGATTTCAGTATTTAATTTCATCTTTCTGAATTACAGACAAGATAGATGGTGTCCTCACAGGTTAAGAATATTCTCCAATTTTTTCCTTTAATCTCTACTGTGACCTTCTCCACACTCTAAGAATCTCTGCCATCATTATACTACCATTTTTATTTCCTATAAGAAAAAAGTCATCAACAGTATTCCCATGAGGATCAAAACTTCCATTATAATACAGGTACGGCCATTAAATACTGTACGACCACAATAAGTCCTGCCAGGAGGGGCAAAAATAACATATTTTATTTTTCTGTTTTTAAAATTCACATATAAGTCTGACATTTCTGATAATACCATACTCACCTTGATTGGCAGGGTACTGTTTATGAACATATGAATCCGTTGCATTCTGAGGACCCTTCTCTTTAAGATTTTCTTTTGAAGTAGGCATATGCAACACAGGACCATACTCATTACGAAGCTTGATTGCCATTTTTCGTTTGTGACTATTTAGAAATTATAAACATAAGAACGTATCCATAAATACTTTAAAACAAACACTTAGCTTAAGTTTGCCCATTCACGTAGAAAAAGTTTCTAGTATGATTTTAAGTAGTATTTAAAAGAATCAAAAATTTCCAAGGGCATTTCCCCACCATATCTGTTCTTTTGCTTACATTCGACCACACAGCATTCATTAAACCTACGTAATATTTTAGTTTGTTACCTAATAAATAGAAAACCTTTTATGATAAATTGTCAAGGGTCTGACTGAAAGATATACAGAAACTAACATACCCTTTAAGAAACCTCAAAGTCAATATACTTTCCTTCAAAATATAAATATAGTAAAAACTCTATAGCAACCTTTACTAGATGTATCCAAACAGGTTAGTTAGAACTAATCAAAGTACTTAATTGGTTCAATATCTTAAAAAGAAATGCATTTATATTACTTTTAAAAATAGTCTACTTTATAAATTAAATATAAATGCTTGTTTGAGGAGTTAAGTAGATTTTAAAAAGGTAAAGGACAAAGAAGGAACACTGCACATAATGCATTCCCAGACTGGAGCTGGATATGTAGAACCAAAAATATGCCACCACTCAAAAATCTTCATCATACTAACGAGAAAAGATGGGAGTAGAGGTACTAGCCAGGTACAATTTCAGCTCAGCAAGGCTCTGAGAGCAGCGGGAAGCTGAAAGCACATACAAAGTGATTGATTATAAAATAAAATACCTAAAAGGGACTCTCTTAATTACTGGGTATTTGTAAAATGCAATTAATTAATGGAACTTTTACTGTAAAAGGCCAAAAAAAAAAGTTAAATCAGCTTAAATTATGCCAAAACACCACTCATTATTGAATAATTAGCCCATGACTAGCTTATCTTTAAAGGACTCCCTCTCCCTGCTCTCTTCCCCTAGTATTAGAATGTTAAGTATTTTAGCAATTGAAAAAAAAAAACTACACCAACCTCTCTTCATCTAAAGGCACAGGTTTTCCATTATCAGCTACAAACATGTCATGGGTCCTCTTCAACGACCTGAACACAAGGGTGTGTACAGAATGTTTCTGTACCTCCTAAAAAAAAAGAATGTAATTACACACCTATCTACAAATTACACAAATCATAACCTAAAGTCAGATTGATTATACACTTCACGTGTTTAAATATGTAAAAAGCTTTATACCACTCACCATAGCTACTTGTTGCAAGCTACAGGAGTCAAGTTCAGAGAAGAGGAGGAAGCTCCTCTTTGGCTAGAACCTCAGGTTTAGCAACTGAGTGATGCCGGAGTTTAACTTACTCAATAAATATTTACTGAGCTCCTACTGTGTGTCTGGCAGGTATTGTGCTAGAATCTCACAATAGAATGATAAAAAGGTGGTCATGGTCCCTGTGCTCAAGAGGAAACAGACAAATAAAAAGTAAAATAATTCCACATTTTGATAAGTGCTATGAAGGCAACAAGCAAGGCGCTGAGTCAGGGAATGAAGGACTAAGTATAATTGTGAAAGATTTCACTAAGGTGATATTTAAGCAGAAAGGGAGTTAGCCTTGCACAAAACAGAGGTAAGAACGAACCAGGCTGATGGAAATGTCATGTAAAAAAAAGTTCAGTTAACTGAAATAATACAAGGAGCGCAGTACAGCTGTGTATGGAGGATGAGATGGTGCTTTGTAGCTGCAAGGGTAGACAAGGTCCAGATTAGGTAAGGTCTTTTAGACTATTACAACAGCCTATATTTTGTTCTAGCAACATAGGGTCAGTAAAGGGTTTTAAACAAGAAAGGTATGAACAACTTACGTTTTAAACAGAACAACTTATAGAACAAAATGGAAGCAAGGAAACCAACCAACGGGGAGCTAATGCACCAGTCCAGGTGAAAGATGATGTTGGTCTCAATTAAGGTGGACTGCAGCGGATATGGAGAAGAGTGAATGGAATCAATAAACATGTGGGGTAAGATGGACAAGACCAGCTAACAGCGTTGGCTGTTCATGCCAGGGAAAGATGTAAAGAACGGCAAGTTTTTCTGGGGGTAGAGGTGAAATAAGAGACGACCTGAACGCAAGATAGAGAAGACTACCAATCTTTTAGGGCACAGACTCACTGACACTGCCCCGAGGGCGGCAAGTACCAGTGGTCGATCACCAACAGAGGCCCCGCCTCCGAGGACACTTTCCAGCTCCCAAGAGTCAAACGAGGACTGGACGAATTATCTCAGGCTTCGCGCCCAGGCTGAACCTCCGACTCGGGTTCTCATCCGGCTTCTACCCCTTCCCCGAAAACCCGAAGAAGAGACCACTCGGCCTTGGCCAAATAGCTCCCCTCGTAGCCTCTTTTCTCTCTGGACTCCAAGTACTCTCAATCCCCCACGCGCACTGCCAAAAAAAACAGTCCAGAGACAAACGACTCTTGAGAGCCCCAGTGTCACTTTACCTCGACCATGATGCTACCGTGTATCCCACCTCCGGCAGGGAAGAAACTCTAATCACTAACGCAGTACCCGCCGCCACAGCTGTGCAGCACCTTCCGGAATTGGGCGCCCAGGCGGCGGATGTGATGCAAGCTCTGCGCACGCGCGCTAGTCTCCCTCGGCCATCTAGGATCAGGAGGCGGGTCTCCCTCCTCGGGACCGCCTCTAGGGCGGAGTCTCGAGGCTGAAAGCCGGAGACTCCTGGAAGGGCCTGGGTGGAGGGTTTCACTCGTCCCTCTGAAGAAATCTTAGAATTATGTTTTCTGCCTTAGTTGGGGTCCTGGTTGTTCGTGCTGTATTCCCCGGAAGCTTAACGCTTTTTATTCAGAGAACCTAAGCGTCTGGAGAGCAAACTCCCGTGGGCTCTATCTAAGGCATTTCCACTACCTTGATCTCTTTGGAGGTCGCCTGCGTGCTTTGTGTCTCCTGGTTCTAATCCTGGCGAGAAGCACTTGGACACTTGTAGGCTTAACACCTGAAAACAATTTCGCTTAAACAGTCCAGTAAACACTTGTTAAGTGAACGTTGAGGAATAGCTGTTTTAATTTGGAAAATTTTGACATGTAGTTATAACAAAACCCCATATTTATTTTCTGCTAATAGATTTTTTTTTTTAATTTCTCAAAACTGCATAGCTCTTGTCCATTTCCTAGTTGCCTGCTGATTATTGTGGCTTCAACAATGCCAGGGTACAGCTTTTCAAAGCTGGTAGAAGACACAATTGGAGACTTTAGCCATTTTTATTTATACATATCCTTGTGCCAAGTATTGGTATTTTTGCTTTCTACCCTGGTAAAATCTGTGGTTTGTGATCAACCCTACCCAATTATTTTTCTATGTAAAAAAAAAAATGGATGGACTTAGGCATTTACAAACTTAAATAGACAAACATTTTACTGGCCCTGTTTCAGTTTCACTAATCCTGTCCTGAGAGCATACTGCTTACACTTTGAGAGGGGGAAAAAATCTAGCAAAAGAATAGCAATATAAATCAACCTTACTTGGAAATTCATTAAAAACATTAAGGTCATGGGTTTTTGTTTGAGACAGAGTTTCGCTCTTGTCGCCCAGGCTGGAGTGCCATGGCGCGATCTTGGCTCACTGCAACCTCAGCATCCCAGGTTCAAGCTATTCTCCTGCCTCAGCCTCTGGAGTAGCTGGGATTACAGGCGCCCGCCACCATGCCCGGCTAATTTTTGTATTTTTAGTAGAGACAGCGTTTCACCATGTTGGCCAGGCTGGTCTTGAACTCCTGACCTCAGGTGATCCGCCCGCCTCGGCCTCCCAAAGTGCTAGGATTACAGGCATGAGCCACTGAGCCCTGCCTTAAGGTCATGTTTTTACTTGAAGATACAGCATCTCTGAATTTAACTGTGAGTTTGGCCTAAGAATTGCTTTTCTGTAAAGGTGGCAGGTGATGGTATTTCCTTGCAAGAAAATACCATAATTGTAAAATATATACTTGATGAACTAAATAATATACTCACCTATTAATAATAACTATAGAAAATAACATGATTTGAAATGACAATAAAACCATAGAAACCTAAGCAAGACTAATATATATGGCAATATATTAATTGTCTAGTTGGATCTATTAACTTTTTACATATTTAATCATCCTGGAGACATTAATTTAATTTCTCAATAACAACATGGTAATGATTGAGGTAAATTGCCTCGAATTTGCTCCTTTTAAAACACTGTCGTGAATTTATAGAATGATGTCATCCCCTTGAAAGTTTACAATATTTTAGATAAATATAGAACTCAAGTGACCCTATTATTTAGTTCAGGGATTCATGAATTATGTATATTGTAGGAAAATTTTGTATTTATATGGGAATATGTTTTATTTTCTGGAGAAAGGATCCACAAGTTTAATTGGATTCCTGAAAGGCTCCGTCATACACACATGGCCTGGCTGACACCCGAAGCTGCCTTATTTGAACAGCAGGTGTCACCACTGCTCTTTGTACGGGCCCTCAGGGCTGTCCTTAAAGCAGACACGGCAAGTAACTTATTAATATAAATTATTAGTATTATGTCTGTGTAAAACCAAGAATACAAGTTTTAAGGAAAGCCCTCCTTCTTTAGGCAAGATTTTTTAAACTCACCAATACAGAAACTCTTTTTATTCTCCTTCAAATATTGTCCTTTGCTCTTGAACAGTGATAGGTCATATGAGTATAGATTTGAGTGCCATTTTCATCAGCTTTTTATGATATTTTTATAGGAAGTGTTTTCTGATTCTTATAAAATAATAAATATTACTATTTATTTTTCTGTTTCAACTTAGAGGGTTAAATATACAAGCTTTAAAAAACACTATATGCAATGTTCTTTAGAGTTGTGTGGCTCAGTATGTCCATCCCTTAAATTTCATATTTGAAATTGTTCGTTAATTCAAAAGGAAGTAATCATGGGAGTTATCACTGTTTATTTGAATTTCTGAGGTCAAAACCTGTGAAAAATGATACTTGGACATTTCTTCCAAAACTTTGGTCTTTAATTGTTTAGCACAATGCTATGAATTTGCCTAAATACTAAGGTAGTGTTAGCAGATACTTTCTTGTAGCATAGTTGAAACAAGCTTCTGGGACTATAAGGAACAGTGAAGGGGCTGTTCTTCCTGTTAATGCCTGGAAAGACTTTGGGAATAATTAGATTGTACTATCAGTTATAAACTGTCAGTTATAAATATCTTAGCAAGGTGTATGTGTGTGTGTGAGAGAGAGAGAGAGAGTCCTCGGGTCTTACTTATCACAATTTCACCATCCTCTACTACATGAAGCCCCATCTCATGTGTATTAGTTTGCTAGGGCTGATGTAACAAAGTACCACAAACTGGATGGCTTAGACAACAAATGTTTATTGTCTCACAGTTCTGGAGGCAAGAGGCTTGAAATAAAGGCGTTGGCAAAGTTGGTTCCTTCTAAGGGCTGTGAGAGAGAATGTGTTCTATGCCTCTCCCCTAACTTCCAGTAGTTCTCTGGCAGTCTTTGCCGTTTCTTGTCTTCTGCTGCATCACTGTCATGTCTGCCTTCATCTTCACATTTCGTTCTCACTGTGCATATGCCTATGCCAAATTTCTCCTTCTTAAAGAACATCAATCATATTGAATTAAAGGCCCACCCTACTCCAGTATGGCTTCATCTTAACTAATTCCATCCAAAAATACCCTATTTCCAAATAAGGTCACATTCTTAGATACTGGGGGTTAGGAATTCATAATGTGAATTTGGGGGGACACAGTTCAACCCACAACACTATATCACAAAATAAGTGACAATATTGAACATAATCATGACTTTTGTTGTTTACCTTTACAAATAAGAATTTGTACTTACAAATATTTGCAGGCATTTACAAATGTTTTTATTTTACAGAAATATTTTTGGTGTTTATACTGCCACAGAAGAAATAACAATGTCTTGGTTCCAGCTTTCTTAGCTGAATGTTTTGTTGTAATATTTGTTTAAATATCTGTATTTCCCAGTAGACTTATGGGGTGAATATGGCATGATGTTTACTATCACACAGTCAGAATCTAATTGACTTGCAACTGGTAAGTTTTCAATATTTATTGAATGAATGAATAAGTAAGCTATTATATTGTACACTTAAATATGGGTTTAGGTGGCTTTGAGAGCTTAATTTTTTTTGAGACGGAGTCTGGCTCTGCCGGCCAGGTTGAAGTGCAGTGGCACCATCTCAGCTCACTGCAATCTCTGCCTCCTGGATTCAAATGATTCTCCTGCCTCAGCCTCCGGAGTAGCTGGGAATACAGGTGTGCACCACCACGCCTGGCTAATTACTTGTATTTTTAGTAGACATGGGGTTTTACCATGTTGGCCAGGCTAGTCTCGCACTCCCGACCTTAGGTGATCCACCTGTCTCAGCCTCTCAAAGTGCTGGGATTACAGGTGTGAACCACTGAGCCCAGCCGAGACTTTAATTTTGATTTGGAGTTGCAGCTACTGAACATGTAGGAAGGATGGTCTGTGAGTGTGTGTGTGTGTGTGTGTGTGTGTGTGTGTGATGTGCTCACTCCGAAAAGTTGCTATTTCAGTAACCATTAATTTAATCACAGTCTTTCTGTGTGTGTAATGCAGATAATTGCTTATAAAAGGACTGTTCAGTTCTGTATTTCTGATCTTTGTAAATTTTATGACAATGAAAAATATTTTCCATTACATTTAAGTAAGTTAATTCTAAATTTTATTTAGTTTCTATAAAACTTAGCAACTTAGTTACAAAATACAATTTATCTGTAGAAATATTTGCAACAGTCAGTTTAGTTAGCAGAAATACCTTTTGACATGAATAATTAAGAAGAGTAAGGCATTTGATTGAATATTTTACTATTATTATTAATTCATATTTATAGATCCCATTATATTTATATTACATAATGCTATTTAGACACTTCAGGCTTTCTTTTAGAAATATGCTACCAAAAGCCAGAATCATGTTCACAGAGAAATATTAAAAATATTCTTATTAGTCACAATACAAGGATGTCCACCATCACCACTATTATCCACGTGTATTTTTTATGAAAGCACTAGTCATTCAATTGGACAAAAAAATTAAATTGTGTAAAATAGGAAATAGGGATGAAAAGTTATCTTTATTTGCAAACGGTATGACTTTCTACCTGAAAAACCAATTGAAAAAACTATTCGAAACAATATGAAAATTCACTGAGTATAAAAATGTTATTAAAAATCAATAGTTTTCCTTTATGCAGTTAAAAATACAGCAGGGAAAGGGATTTTTATTTAAAATAGCAATAAATTTTAAAATGTGCAAGACCTAAAGGAAAAAAAAATTAAGAGACGTGAAAACCTGAATCAGGGACCTCCCTCCTCTCTGTGCATGTGGCCTCACTACTGCTGCTTCTGGAGGGACTGAAAAATCCCTGAGACCAGCATCTCAGGGATGCTGGTCTGGCAGTCAGAGAGGTCTCTGAGCTGACAGGATTTCCTGAAATGCTGTGAAAATTTTGCATCCTGAAATCCATGCTGGAATCCTGGCTCATAATATCCCAAAAGGTAATGCTGACATGGCCAGGCCTGATTGTTGCCTGTAATCTCTATCCCTTCCTGAAGACAGTGGCTTCTCCAGGTGTAATGGTTGAGAGGCTGTTGAGCAAATTGGTACTGGTAGAGTAACTTTACTGAGAGATGCCACCAAAAACCACAATCCAGTGACAGTGGTGTGTCAGAGGACTATGAGGCAGTGTCCACAGACAGGCAGAGCTCCAAGAGTAAGGACACCTTCTTGGAGACTAGGTGCCAGTTAGTCTTGAAGGCATTCACATTCACTTATATGGCACAATATGATGAAGCAATTTCAGATTACCTCAGGAAATAGCACAGTAAAGGAATATCTCAGATGCCCTTGCAGTACAGAATGATCCCTCATCAGACTCCTGTGCAGCTATACACACTGAAGCCTAAGCTTCCCATCACAGTTCTAAATGGAGCCCCTGGATTTAAAAACTTTTGTGATGCTTTGAATGCCTGGCAGCTGGTGAAGGAACTCAAAGAGGCATTAGGCATTCTATCTGCTGCCCTTTTCAAACATGTCAGCCCAGCAGATGCTGCTGTTGAAATTCCACTCAGTGAAAATGAGGCCAAAGTCTGCATATATCATAAGCAAAGTTAAAAGACAAATGAAAAATTGGGAAATATAGGCAATGTGTATGTTAGCCACAGGGCTAATTTTCTTAATAAGAAAAGAGCTCTCATGAATCAACAGAAAAAATGAACAACTCAAAAGACAAGGCACATGGACAGGCAGTTCACAGAAAGACCACTGACATTGTGGCTGATATGTAAATTGAAAAGATTCTCAGTGTGCTCATGATGAAAGAAATTTTAATCACAATAACAATAAGATAACATATTTCACCTAATAGGTTGGCAAAAAATTTTAAAATTTGACAACAACAAGTGATGACAAGGATGAGGGACAACCTAAATATTGATGAGAGTATAAATGGTGGCAATCACTTTCATAGGCAGTTTAGCAATAAGCTGACAATTTTTTTCGAGACAGGGTCTTTCTCTGTGGCCCAGGCTAGACTTCAGTGGATGACCTCCTGGGGTCAGGCAGATCCTCCTACCTCAGCCTCCCAAATAGCTGGAACTACAGGTGTGCACTATGATGCCTGGCTAATTTTTTAATTTTTTTGTAGAGACAGGTGTCTCACTATGTTGCCTAGGCTGCTCTCGAACTCCTAGGCTCAAGCACCCTTCCTGCCTTGGCCTCCCAAAGTGCAGGGATTACAGGTGTGAGCCACCACTCCTGGCCCCAAAATTGTTTGCATACCTTTTGTTACAATGGATTTACTTTCCAAAAATGTCCTTGGTATGTATGTATGTGTGTTTGTGTGTTTGTGTGAGAGTGTGTATGTCTGTATGAATGTATGTATGTATTATATATAATCTTCATAGAAGGATGCAAAGATATACATACACAGGTGTTCATTTTGCTAAGGTAGGAACACCACATCAATACAAGAGAAAAAATAGCTTTGTACATAACAGGAAGAAACTGTCCATCATAGTAGGTAAGGGTATAGAGTCAGAATGCCATGATTCAACTCCTTCTCTGCAAGTTACCTGCAGCATCATCTTGGGTAACTTTCTTCTTTTTGTACTTCAATTCTCCCATCTGTAAAATGGGAATAATAGTACTACTCTACCTCATAGAGTTATTGTAAGAATTAAGTGTAACGTACTAGTAACAGTGACCGGCACAGAATTACTTGATCCATAAACATTAGTTATATGATACTAATTATCCCCGTTGTTCTAAAAGGGGAGAAAGCTGCATAAATGTAACCTAGAAGTCAGAGGTCAACACAGGCAGCTTCTATTTTCATCCTAAACTAAACCTAAAGTGGGCCTCGATTCTCCCCACAAGGAAACCTAGTACACAAAATACTAGTTAGCACATATATTAGTCTGTTCTCACACTACTGATAAATACATACCAAGAGTAGATAATTTATAAAGGGAAGAAGTTTAATTGACTCACAGTTCTGCAGAGCTGGGAAGGCCTCAGGAAACTTACAATCAAGGCAGAAGGGGAAGCAAATATGCCCTTCTTCACATGACAGCAGGAAGGAGAAGTGCGGAATGAAACAGGGAAATCCCTTTATAAAACCATTCAATCTTGTGAGAACTCACTCACTATCACAAGAACAGTATGAGGGTAACTGCACCCATGATTCAATTACCTCCCAACAGGTCCCTCCCACAACATATGAGGATTATGGGAACTAGAATTCAAGGTGAGATTTGGGTGGGGACACAGCCAAACCATATCAGCAAAGTAGATTGAAACATTGAGCAAATAACAAAGGATTGAAGGGAGATCCTGGACCCAATAGCATACTTTGTCCATCCTCATTCAACTTGCGTCTTTTTCTTAGTTTGTCGTTACCTCTTTATTATGTGGAGAGGATAGAGATTTTTCTGCCCACGTCTCCCCCTTCCCTAACATTGTATCCGTGTTTCTAGAAACCAGCCTTTCTGGCTTTCTTTGATTTATATCTAGGTTCCATATTTTTTCAAGTACATGTTTGTGTTTTTTAAAATATATATATGGATATACATACATGTATATATATCTTTTGCCCATTTTTATCTATAGGGCTCATGCTTTCTCATCAAACTGTAACTCTTCATAAAAATTTTATTAAACCTTTGTCTAATCCTGTGCACATTTTACAGAAAATATTGTTAATCTAATTCAAGTAATACTTATTAGTTATTAAATTGTGAAAGATTTTTGAAATTTTTGAAATGCATGTTACTGACATGCACCAAAATAAAAGTCCTCATTTTCCCTAGAGTTTCACTGCTAATACTATCAGACTGGCTGTCTTATTTTTAAGCATAAATTCCATGTTGGAAAGAGAAGCTTTATATTCAAATAATGTAATCCATCACTAAAGGTTTTCATATATTATGTATATGGGCGGGGCATGGTGGCTCACAGCTGTAATTCCAGCACTTTGGGAGGCCAAGGCTGGTGGATCACTTGATGCCAGGAGTTCCAGACCAGCCTGGGCAACATGGTGAAACCCTATCTCTACAAAAAAATACATATATACATACATATATACATATATATATATATATATATAGAGAGAGAGAGAGAGAGAGAGATGGAGAGAGACAGAGAGAGACAGACAGGGTCTTGCTTTGTCACCAAGGCTGGTGTATAGTGGTGCAATCTCAGCTCATTGCAGCCTCAACCTCCCAGGCCCAAGCAATCCTCCCACCTCTCAGCCTCCCAAGTAGCTGGAGTGGCTGAGACTACAGGTGTGTGCCACCATGCCCAGATAATTTTTTCATTTTTTGTATAGATAGGGTTTCACCACGTTGCCCAAGGTGGTCTCGAACTCCTGGGCTCAAGTGATCCTTGGCCTCCCAAAGTGCTGGAATTACAGCTGTGAGCCACTGCGCCCAGCCCATATGCTTAATATATGAAAACTTTTAGTGATTGATTACATTATTTGAATATAAAGCTTCTCTTTCTAACCTGCAATTTATGCTTAAAAATAAGACAGCCAGTCTGATTCCTAAAAATTTGATCTTAATTTTCTCAACAAATGCCAAAAATCATCTCAGTCAAAGTTAATGAAAGGTAAAATGAGTACTATAGAAAGGACATCAGGTGTCTCACAGACTGGGCTGTGAAGAATCAAATTATTATGTTTGGACGTTTTGGTTACTTCTGTTGATGCAGTTGGTAGGCTTTCCCTCTAAAATGCTGCCATGGATATAACATCAGTCCAATTGACCCAGTTCCCTTCCCCTTCCCCTTCCCCTTCCCCTTCTTCTTCTCCTCCTCCTCCTCCTTCTTCTTCCAGCAAATATCAAATTTGGAGAGACAATCTGGTAGATTTAGCTTGCGTAAAGGGTCTGTCTACCCCTAGCTTGGTCACCTGTGGTTAGAGGGTCAGGGTGTTGTAGTACTGACAGGACCACTGGAGCTTCATACCTCCATTTTAGGGGTCATTCCAGGAGAAGGGAGCAGCACTCCCAGAGGTGTTCATTACACCCTTAATGGTTGTGGGTCTCAATGTGACAAAAGCAGAAGAGCATCTCTATCTTTTCTTAGCTCTTGTGATCTCCATCCTGTTGTAGGAGAAAATGTCCTATTATCCCTTATTACCATGCTCTATGTCAGCTCCCATAAGAAATGGAAACTGACATCTAAGCCAGTAGAGGGAGACATTCCACAAGAGATGGCGTCATCTCCTATTTCTTCCCCACCATATGCTTTCCCACTAAAGATGACCAACAAATTGCAGGTGTCACCACTGCACTGCTCTCAGGCTTGCCCCAAGAGCTCTGGTCCAGCCTGGCCTCCAACTCGTCAGTGTTAATCAAGGTAACACAAGGAAAATATATACAGAGACTAACAACTTATTACAGTACCTCAAAACCTATGCATATTTAGACAACGAGAATCAGTATTCCTTTTAGTCATTCGTTCATTTATATATTCATGAATTTGCTCAACCGATATTTATTAAATACTGGCTATGTGCCAGGTGCATGACATAAACTGTACAGTCATTCAAACCAAGTTTCAAGTCTAAAAGCCCTTTTCCTTTGAAGTTCGTTTCCCCCTGAAGAAAGTTAGATCCTTAAGTTACCAGTCCCAAAGCCTCACCTCCCCCAATCTTAGGCTCAACACTAATTATTGTAAGTAGTTTTCATTTTCTGTCTTTCCTTTTAGACTTAAGGCTTCGCCAAGGTCTCCCCGGCCCCCAGCAAACTACCTGCTATGAAGTAGATGCTCTGTAAATAGTTGTTAAGCACAAATTGCCTTGTGCTATGGAGACTGGGCCTGACATGAGTTGTAAAAGTATCAACAAGTGTATTGACAATGGGTATCGGCAAGTCTTTGCCCTTCAAGCCAGAGAGCTGCTGGGCAGGACAGATTATCTCTGTTTTCTCTGTCACTGATTTACTACCCTTGACTTATGCAATGACATCAGCTAATATGAAGAACACTGCACTGATGACCTCAAAATAACTGAACAAATAGTACTCCCTTTCCCCTCCACCAATGGCATCAACATTCTAAAAAAATTTAAGCATCTTAATAAGCGGTGTCTCTGCAAATATATTTCTTCCCTGAAAACATGATAATATTCTTTGTAATATTAGGCAATTTAGAGTCCCAGTGTAACTGTACATAACTCTACAGAAAAAAGACATATCTAACAAGAACTAGAATTACAAAAACTCATTATCACTGCATTGCACATGCTTCACACAGACATGAATACTATACCCACATATGAGGGTAAAAAGATAAGTGAAAGTAAAAGCTATGAGTGAGTGTGTCAGCCTGATACATTATGGTCCCAAGATGACAGGCTGGCCAAAATACTCCAAAAGAACAAACACACAAAAAGAAGGTAGAGGTAAATTTTTATAATGTTTGTATCCTGTTGGGAAATATAATGTAATGGGCACAGAGTGTGGACTGTAGAGTCAGACAGTCAGGGGTCAAGTCCTCATACCAGCACCTACTACCTATACACTCTGGGGTAGTTTACTTAACCTCTCTGAACCTGTTTCACCATCTGTAGAACATAGTGGTTTCAAGAATTAAATACGATAAATGACTACCATAATTTGGCATCTGAGGCATGTACCAATGACAGCCAGTTCACTCATTCATCCCGTAATTATGTATTGAACGCCTACTATGTCTGTCTTGCTCACCAATGCATTCCCAGCCCCTATCACACTACCCGTCACTGAGGAGACTCTCAAGAACTATTTGTAAGATGAATGTTAAGTCTGTGCTGTTATGGTGCATGCATGCTGGATTGAATCCATCCTCCTTCTGACCATGGGAAGAATGCCAATCAGAGTAGAACAAAGTAGGAAAGTAAAGGAACCTTCACTTTAGTGTTGAACAAGAGTCTATTATATACTAGAAAAAACTTTACAAATTTACAGACTTCTGAAAGTTAAATGATGATTCTATTGTTAGTTGATCAAACATCAGTCATTGAAAATGTAGTAATACGTTACCTCAAAAGAAAAAAAAAAGGTTAGAGTTTTCTTAACAGATAATTCTTTTTAAATCTGTAAGAATCTGTACGTCACTAAAATAAAATCCTGTCTAGATTATTAAAATAAACTTTGTTATCAGTTATATTTTCATGGAAAATATTCCTGTATATATTTTAATTAATAGCCACATAGATATTTGCTTTTTCTGTCAGATCATGTATCCCTTTAAAAACCATTAAAGCTAAAGAAAAAAATCTTAAAATATAATATTTACTCATTGCTAATAAAGGGAACACAAATTTGGAAAGACTCAAGTGAATATTTTTTCTTAATTTAAACTGAGTACTTTGTCTCTATTAAGCTAAGTTAAAAGAATTTGGGAGGACAACCTATGCTACCAAGAGAATAATTTGTTTCTAGGAATCTGAGTTAAAAGAATTTGGGAATGCAATCTCTGCTACCTGGAGAAGAAAGAAATGTCGTGGGTCCCACACCATTCTCAAGACTCTGTTTCAAAGCATTGTTTCAATACGCTGATCCAAACCCTGATAACCTGCCATCTTTTTAATAAAATAATTTATAAATTTAATGAGAATGTTTCACTTTCCATACAAAAAACAGAAAAATGCTTTGAATCAATGCACTTACTGGGATTTGGATTACTGACTGGTGTTCCTATTGATTCTTGTAGGAGTTATTAATCCTGATTGCAACACACAAGTGAACAGACAAGAGAGATAAATTTTGTGGCTTGTGGGAAATGAAGGAAAATGGGCCTCATTTAGTCTGTGAGCATACTAATTGAAATAGATGTATGAAGACTTCACCAGTGTTAAAATAACATTGTTTTTATAAATCATATGATATAAACTATATAACAATAAAATAGAATGTTAAACATGTATTTAATCATCATCATAATTTTGATTCAGAAATCTATAATTTATTAGTTATCTTAATAATGTTTAGAATTTGTTGAACATTTTACCTTATGTGAATTAAGGACAAAATATTAAAGCTATTCAGCACAAAAAAAGGGTCTTTCTGATGTGTATTTTTCATAGAATAGGGTATGAATTTGTTATTTTGTTATTTTGATTAATGTCTAAAACAAAAGATAAACACATTATGATATAACATTACTATTGATTTTAATGGCCCCTTTTGAAATAGAATTATGTCATTGTCAGAAAACATAAGCATTTATGGTATATCATTAATGAGTCACGATTTTAGTGGTTGCCTTGTGAGTAGGTCAAATTTACTAAGCTTAGATTTGTTTTCTCACATATTCTTTCGGAGCTTGTGTAGTTTCCACATTAATTTACCAGAAACAAGATACACATCTCTCTTTGAGGAGTGCCCTAACTTCCCATCATTTTGTCCAATTAAATGAATTGAAGAAATTTAATGTTTCTAAACTAGACCAACAAAGAATAATAGTTGTATGACAAGTAAATAAGCTTTGCTGGGAAGATGTTGCTTAAATGATAAAATGGTTCAGCCAACAAGTGAACCAAAAATTAAATATTAACTAAGGAAAGGTAACCATTTCTGAAGTCATTCCTAGCAGAGGACTCAGATATATATAGGATTGAAGATCTCTCAGTTAAGTCTACATGAAAAGGATGGTTTCTTGGAGCTTCCACAAACTTAAAACCATGAAACATCTATTATTGCTACTATTGTGTGTTTTTCTAGTTAAGTCCCAAGGTGTCAACGACAATGAGGAGGTGAATTTTTTAAAGCATTATTATATTATTAGTAGTATTATTAATATAAGATGTAACATAATCATATTATGTGCTTATTTTAATGAAATTAGCATTGCTTATAGTTATGAAATGGAATTGTTAACCTCTGACTTATTGTATTTAAAGAATGTTTCATAGTATTTCTTATATAAAAACAAAGTAATTTCTTGTTTTCTAGTTTATCACCTTTGTTTTCTTAAGATGAGGATGGCTTAGCTAATGTAAGATGTGTTTTTCTCACTTGCTATTCTGAGTACTGTGATTTTCATTTACTTCTAGCAATACAGGATTACAATTAAGAGGACAAGATCTGAAAATCTCACAAACTATAAAATAATAAAAGAGCAGAATTTTAAGATAAAAGAAACTGGTGGTAGGTAGATTGTTCTTTGGTGAAGGAAGGTAATATATATTGTTACTGAGATTACTATTTATAAAAATTATAACTAAGCCTAAAAGCAAAATACATCAAGTGTAATGATAGAAAATGAAATATTGCTTTTTTCAGATGAAAAGTTCAAATTAGAGTTAGTGTGTATTGTTATTATTAATAGTTATGAAACACGGTTCAGTCTAATTTATTTATTTGTAGAACAGTTTGTCCTCAACTATTATTTTTGCTGACTTATTGCTGTTAATTTGCAGTTACTAAAAATACAGAAATGCATTTAGGACAATGGATATTTAAGAAATTTAAATTTTATCATCAAACGTATCATGGCCAAATTTCTTACATATAGCATAGTATCATTAAACTAGAAATAAGAATACACAATAATATTTAAATGAAGTGATTCATTTCGGATCATTATTGAGTTTCAAGGGAACTTGAGTGTTGTACTTATCAGACTCTACATGTAAGAACATATAGTTAATCTGGTTGTGTGTGTAAAAACATATGGTTAATCTGGTTAAGTCTGGTTAATCATATTAGGTAAGAAAAATGTAAAGAATGTGTAAGACGAAATTTTTGTAAAGTACTCTGCAAAGCACTTTCACATTTCTGCTTATCAACTAAACCTCACAGAGATAGTTTAATAGTTTAGGCTTTAAAATGGATTTTGATTATTCAACAAGTGGCCTTCATAATTTCTTTAAGTGTTTTTCTTTAAGTATATACTTTCTTTAAATATTTTTTAAAATTTCCTTTTCTCTAGTAAAGCCAGACCATCCATGCTACCTCTCTAGTGGCACTCTGAAATAAAAAGAAAATAGTTTTCTCTGTTATAATTGTATTTGTAATAAGCAGATGAATCACATTTCTTAAAATTTGTTTTAGAGAGGGTAAGCTCTGACTAGGACCATGACTTCAATGTGAAATATGTATATATCCTCCGAATCTTTACATATTAAGAATGTATATAGTCAACTGGTTAAACAGGAAAATCTGGAACCAGCCTGGCTGGGTTTTAATCTTAGCACCATCCTACTAAATGTTAAATAATATTATAATCTAATGAATAAATGACAATGCAATTCCAAATAGAGTTCATCTGATGACTTCTAGACTCACAAAATTGCAAGAGAGCTCAGTTGTTGCTCAGTTGTTCCAAATCATGTCGTTTGTTAATTTGTAATTAAGCTCCAAAGGATGTATAGCTACTGACAAAAAAAAAAATGAGAATGTAGTTAATCCAAATCAAAACTTTCCTATTGCAATGCGTATTTTCTGCTTCATTATCCTTTAATATAATATTTTAAGTTAGCAAGTAATTTTAATTACAATGCACAAGCCTTGAGAATTATTTTAAATATAAGAAAATCATAATGTTTGATAAAGAAATCATGTAAGAAATTTCAAGATAATGGTTTAACAAATAATTTTGTTGATAGAAGATAAGACTAAAAGTGAAATTCGAAGTGGAGAGGACACTTAAACTGTAGTACTTGTTATGTGTGATTCCAGTAAAAATAGTAATGAGCACTTATTATTGCCAAGTACTGTTCTGAGGGTACCATATGCAATAAGTTATTTAATCCTTACAATAATCTTGTAAGGCAGATTCAAACTATCATTACACTTATTTTACAGATGAGAAAACTGGGGCACAGATAAAGCAACTTGCCCAAGGTCTCATAGCTGTAAGTCAACCCTACGGTCAAGACCTACAAGTAGCCGAGCTCCAGAGTACATTATGAGGGTCAAAGATTGTCTTATTACAAATAAATTCCAAGTAGAATCAACCTTTAATAAGTCTTTAATGTCTCTTAAATATGTTTATATAGGAGTCTAATCACCAATTCACAAAAATGAAAGTAGGGAAATGATTAACAATAATCATAGGAATCTAACAATCCAAGTGGCTTGAGAATATTCATTCTTCTTGACAGTATAGATTCTTTACAATTTCGTAAGTTCCAATGTATGTTTTAGGAATATGAGGTCATTACTATTCATAATCTGATACAGCTTTATCCTAAGGCCTCTCTTTAAAAACTACACTGCATCATAGCTTTTTTGTGCAGTTGGTCTTTCTACTGTTACTGAACAGTAAGCAACCTACAGATTCACTATCACCAACCAGCCAGTTGATGGATCTTAAGCAAATTATCAAGCTTGTGATAACCTAAATTATAAAATGAGGGTGTTGGAATAGTTACATTCCAAATCTTCTATAACACTCTGTATTATATTTCTGCCTCATTCCTTGTAGGGTTTCTTCAGTGCCCGTGGTCATCGACCCCTTGACAAGAAGAGAGAAGAGGCTCCCAGCCTGAGGCCTGCCCCACCGCCCATCAGTGGAGGTGGCTATCGGGCTCGTCCAGCCAAAGCAGCTGCCACTCAAAAGAAAGTAGAAAGAAAAGCCCCTGATGCTGGAGGCTGTCTTCACGCTGACCCAGACCTGGTGGGTGCACTGATGTTTCTTGCAGTGGTGGCTCTCTCATGCAGAGAAAGCCTGTAGTCATGGCAGTCTGCTAATGTTTCACTGACCCACATTACCATCACTGTTATTTTGTTTGTTTATTTTGGAAATAAAATTCAAAACATAAACATATTGGGCCTTTGGTTTAGGCTTTCTTTCTTGTTTTCTTTGGTCTGGGCCCAAAATTTCAAATTAGGATATGTGGGTGCCACCTTTCCATTTGTATTTTGCCACTGCCTTTGTTTAGTTGGTAAAATTTTCATAGCCCAATTATATTTTTTCTGGGGTAAGTAATATTTTAAATCTCTATGAGAGTATGATGATGACTTTCGAATTTCTGGTCTTACAGAAAACCAAATAATAAATTTTTATGTTGGCTAATCGTATCGCTGAATTTTCCTATGTGCTATTTTAACAAATGTCCATGACCCAAATCCTTCATCTAATGCCTGCTATTTTCTTTGTTTTTAGGGGGTGTTGTGTCCTACAGGATGTCAGTTGCAAGAGGCTTTGCTACAACAGGAAAGGCCAATCAGAAATAGTGTTGATGAGTTAAATAACAATGTGGAAGCTGTTTCCCAGACCTCCTCTTCTTCCTTTCAGTACATGTATTTGCTGAAAGACCTGTGGCAAAAGAGGCAGAAGCAAGTAAAAGGTAGATATCCTTGTGCTTTCCATTCGATTTTCAGCTATAAAATTGGAACCGTTAGACTGCCACGAGAATGCATGGTTGTGAGAAGATTAACATTTCTGGGTTAGTGAATAGCATTCATACGCTTTTGGGCACCTTCCCCTGCAACTTGCCAGATAAGCACTATTCAGCTCTTATTCCCAGTCTGACATCAGCAAGTGTGATTTTCTATGAAAAATTCTACTATGACTCCTTATTTTAAGTATACAAGAAACTTGTGACTCAGAAGATAATATTTACAGAGTGGAAAAAAACCCCTAGCATTTATAGTTTTAACATTTGAGGTTTTGAATGAGAGAGTTATCCATAATATATTCAATTGTGTTGTGGATAATGACACCTAACCTGTGAATCTTGAGGTCAGAATGTTGAGTGCTGTTGACTTGGTGGTCAGGAAACAGCTAGTGCGTGAGCCTGGCACAGGCATCTCAGTGAGTAGCATACCCACAGTTGGAAATTTTTCAAAGAAATCAAAGGAATCATGACATCTTATAAATTTCAAGGTTCTGCTATACTTATGTGAAATGGATAAATAAATCAAGCATATCCACTCTGTAAGATTGAACTTCTCAGATGGAAGACCCCAATACTGCTTTCTCCTCTTTTCCCTCACCAAAGAAATAAACAACCTATTTCATTTATTACTGGACACAATCTTTAGCGTATACCTATGGTAAATTACTAGTATGGTGGTTAGGATTTATGTTAATTTGTATATGTCATGCGCCAAATCATTTCCACTAAATATGACTATATATCATAACTGCTTGGTGATAGCTCAGTGTTTAATAGTTTATTCTCAGAAAATCAAAATTGTATAGTTAAATACATTAGTTTTATGAGGCAAAAATGCTAACTATTTCTACATAATTTCATTTTTCCAGATAATGAAAATGTAGTCAATGAGTACTCCTCAGAACTGGAAAAGCACCAATTATATATAGATGAGACTGTGAATAGCAATATCCCAACTAACCTTCGTGTGCTTCGTTCAATCCTGGAAAACCTGAGAAGCAAAATACAAAAGTTAGAATCTGATGTCTCAGCTCAAATGGAATATTGTCGCACCCCATGCACTGTCAGTTGCAATATTCCTGTGGTGTCTGGCAAAGGTAACTGATTCATAAACATATTTTTAGAGAGTTCCAGAAGAACTCACACACCAAAAATAAGAGAACAACAACAACAACAAAAATGCTAAGTGGATTTTCCCAACAGATCATAATGACATTACAGTACATCATAAAAATATCCTTAGCCAGTTGTGTTTTGGACTGGCCTGGTGCATTTGCTGGTTTTGATGAGCAGGATGGGGCACAGGTAGTCCCAGGGGTGGCTGATGTGTGCATCTGCGTACTGGCTTGAACAGATGGCAGAACCACAGATAGATGTAGAAGTTTCTCCATTTTGTGTGTTCTGGGAGCTCATGGATATTCCAGGACACAAAAGGTGGAGAAGAGCTTTGTTCATCCTCTTAGCAGATAAACGTCCTCAAAACTGGGTTGGACTTACTAAAGTAAAATGAAAATCTAATATTTGTTATATTATTTTCAAAGGTCTATAATAACACACTCCTTAGTAACTTATGTAATGTTATTTTAAAGAATTGGTGACTAAATACAAAGTAATTATGTCATAAACCCCTGAACATAATGTTGTCTTACATTTGCAGAATGTGAGGAAATTATCAGGAAAGGAGGTGAAACATCTGAAATGTATCTCATTCAACCTGACAGTTCTGTCAAACCGTATAGAGTATACTGTGACATGAATACAGAAAATGGAGGTAAGCTTTCGACAGTTGTTGACCTGTTGATCTGTAATTATTTGGATACCGTAAAATGCCAGGAAACAAGGCCAGGTGTGGTGGCTCATACCTGTAATTCCAGCACCTTGGGAGGCCAAAGTGGGCTGATAGCTTGAGCCTAGGAGTTTGAAACTAGCCTGGGCAACATAATGAGACCCTAACTCTACAAAAAAAAAAAAAATACCAAAAAAAAAAAAAAATCAGCTGTGTTGGTAGTATGTGCCTGTAGTCCCAGCTATCCAGGAGGCTGAGATGGGAGATCACCTGAGCCCACAACCTGGAGTCTTGATCATGCTACTGAACTGTAGCCTGGGCAACAGAGGATAGTGAGATCCTGTCTCAAAAAAAAAAATTAATTAAAAAGCCAGGAAACAAGACTTAGCTCTAACATCTAACATAGCTGACAAAGAGTAATTTGATGTGGAATTCAACCTGATATTTAAAAAGTTATAAAATATCTATAATTCACAATTTGGGGTAAGATAAAGCACTTGCAGTTTCCAAAGATTTTACAAGTTTACCTCTCATATTTATTTCCTTATTGTGTCTATTTTAGAGCACCAAATATATACTAAATGGAATGGACAGGGGATTCAGATATTATTTTCAAAGTGACATTATTTGCTGTTGGTTAATATATGCTCTTTTTGTTTCTGTCAACCAAAGGATGGACAGTGATTCAGAACCGTCAAGACGGTAGTGTTGACTTTGGCAGGAAATGGGATCCATATAAACAGGGATTTGGAAATGTTGCAACCAACACAGATGGGAAGAATTACTGTGGCCTACCAGGTAACGAACAGGCATGCAAAATAAAATCATTCTATTTGAAATGGGATTTTTTTTAATTAAAAAACATTCATTGTTGGAAGCCTGTTTTAGGCAGTTAAGAGGAGTTTCCTGACAAAAATGTGGAAGCTAAAGATAAGGGAAGAAAGGCAGTTTTTAGTTTCCCAAAATTTTATTTTTGGTGAGATTTTATTTTGTTTTTCTTTTAGGTGAATATTGGCTTGGAAATGATAAAATTAGCCAGCTTACCAGGATGGGACCCACAGAACTTTTGATAGAAATGGAGGACTGGAAAGGAGACAAAGTAAAGGCTCACTATGGAGGATTCACTGTACAGAATGAAGCCAACAAATACCAGATCTCAGTGAACAAATACAGAGGAACAGCCGGTAATGCCCTCATGGATGGAGCATCTCAGCTGATGGGAGAAAACAGGACCATGACCATTCACAACGGCATGTTCTTCAGCACGTATGACAGAGACAATGACGGCTGGTATGTGTGGCACTCTTTGCTCCTGCTTTAAAAATCACACTAATATCATTACTCAGAATCATTAACAATATTTTTAATAGCTACCACTTCCTGGGCACTTACTGTCAGCCACTGTCCTAAGCTCTTTATGCATCACTCGAAAGCATTTCAACTATAAGGTAGACATTCTTATTCTCATTTTACAGATGAGATTTAGAGAGATTACGTGATTTGTCCAATGTCACACAACTACCCAGAGATAAAACTAGAATTTGAGCACAGTTACTTTCTGAATAATGAGCATTTAGATAAATACCTATATCTCTATATTCTAAAGTGTGTGTGAAAACTTTCATTTTCATTTCCAGGGTTCTCTGATACTAAGGGTTGTAAAAGCTATTATTCCAGTATAAAGTAACAAACACAGTCCCTAGATGGATTGGCCACAAAGGCCCAGTTATCTCTCTTTCTTGCTATAGGGCACAGGAGGTCTTTGGTGTATTAGTGTGACTCTATGTATAGCACCCAAAGGAAAGACTACTGTGCACACGAGTGTAGCAGTCTTTTATGGGTAATCTGCAAAACGTAACTTGACCACCGTAGTTCTGTTTCTAATAACGCCAAACACATTTTCTTTCAGGTTAACATCAGATCCCAGAAAACAGTGTTCTAAAGAAGACGGTGGTGGATGGTGGTATAATAGATGTCATGCAGCCAATCCAAACGGCAGATACTACTGGGGTGGACAGTACACCTGGGACATGGCAAAGCATGGCACAGATGATGGTGTAGTATGGATGAATTGGAAGGGGTCATGGTACTCAATGAGGAAGATGAGTATGAAGATCAGGCCCTTCTTCCCACAGCAATAGTCCCCAATACGTAGATTTTTGCTCTTCTGTATGTGACAACATTTTTGTACATTATGTTATTGGAATTTTCTTTCATACATTATATTCCTCTAAAACTCTCAAGCAGACGTGAGTGTGACTTTTTGAAAAAAGTATAGGATAAATTACATTAAAATAGCACATGATTTTCTTTTGTTTTCTTCATTTCTCTTGCTCACCAAGAAGTAACAAAAGTATAGTTTTGACAGAGTTGGTGTTCATAATTTCAGTTCTAGTTGATTGCGAGAATTTTCAAATAAGGAAGAGGGGTCTTTTATCCTTGTCGTAGGAAAACCATGACGGAAAGGAAAAACTGATGTTTAAAAGTCCACTTTTAAAACTATATTTATTTATGTAGGATCTGTCAAAGAAAACTTCCAAAAAGATTTATTAATTAAACCAGACTCTGTTGCAATAAGTTAATGTTTTCTTGTTTTGTAATCCACACATTCAATGAGTTAGGCTTTGCACTTGTAAGGAAGGAGAAGCGTTCACAACCTCAAATAGCTAATAAACCGGTCTTGAATATTTGAAGATTTAAAATCTGACTCTAGGACGGGCACGGTGGCTCACGACTATAATCCCAACACTTTGGGAGGCTGAGGCGGGCGGTCACAAGGTCAGGAGTTCAAGACCAGCCTGACCAATATGGTGAAACCCCATCTCTACTAAAAATACAAAAATTAGCCAGGCGTGGTGGCAGGTGCCTGTAGTCCCAGCTACCTGTGAGGTGGAGATTGCATTGAGCCAAGATCTCAACACTGCACTCCAGCCTGGGCAACAGCGTGAGACTCCACCTCAAAAAAAAAAAAAAAAGAATCTGACTATATACCATGGAAAAGCCACCACTCTGCCACTTAAATAAACATCAGGATCAGAGATTCCAAGAGGACAATCTGCATCAAGTCTTCACCAAGTGTTTTTTAAGCGAAATAATGAAATAGGGAGCAGAATATGCCTGTTGCCCATAGAAACGAGGTCTATTCTTGTCCTCAATTAGGCTTTTTTTTCTTCATAGTTACACCAGAACTAAAGTAAAAGTGGTTTTTCTGTTCTTTCTACTTCTCCCCATGAAATGGGCATATCATCTCAACACTTCACTCCAAGTCGCCACGGGCAACCTTATGACCCTAGGTCCTCCACCCCTAATGTATCATCATTGCCACCCATTTTTATGGTACTTATTGTTCTTAAGCTTATCCTCTTAATCTTTTCATGTAAGCAAAGCTCATTAATTTCTGTCTTGGAAATGCTACTACTCTCTTTAATTACTCACCAAATCCAACTTTAACTTTTGACCTGGTTTCTCTGCCACAAGTTCTGTCCCACTGGAGCCCATACTCACCTACCGCTTTGCCATCACATTTAACAGAAAACTCTTATCAACTTACTTCCTGCTTAACATTAGCTCCTTCCTATCTATATCCAAATTTCTTAAATTCAAATTTTTTAGCTGGAGTAAAAATGGTCCCAGTACCATTTCCTGTTCCCTTCACTATAACCTACATTTTTGTCACATTAAGTTTTTCCCCATTCCAGGACAGGTCAGGCCCTTTAAAAATTTCAACAGCTTTATTGAGATATAATTGATATAATTTAAAAAATCCTGCACATGTGTCATGCTGGAGCCCTATTGATTCCAACAGGGATGGCGCCTTGTCCAAGAAGAGACCCAGAGCCAGTGAATGGGACATAGGGTTTATTTAGGACTTAAATACAGATGTGGTCCAGTGGCAGTGGGCTGGACAGGACCGCTACTATTTGTAAAGAGTATGTAGTTTATATAACATTTCTACTTAGCACTCTCCACTTAGCAACCTCCATTTAACCCAAAATAAAAGGCCTTGGTTCCTTGCACATCCTGAGTTCCAACGGACAGGCAGGGAGTTCAAGTGTCCTTCACAGATAAGAAGTGAATCTCTCTGGGTTGGCCATTCCCGGATTCCTTAGCTTAGACTCTGAACACATATTCTTCTTAGACCATACAGTCATTCTCAGGGTATGCTTGAGTTAATGCTGTCGGATGCATCTGTCATACAAAGTGTTTAACATATACGATTTCATGATTTTGGAAATATGCATACACCCATGATATCACTGGCACAGTCAAGATATTAAATATATCCATCACCTCCAAAAGTTTCCTTGTGTTCATTTATTTTAGTTTTTCATGGTAAGAACATTTAATATGAAATATTATCAACAAATTTTTAAGTGCACAATACTGTATTATTAATTTTAGGCATTATGTTGTACAGTAGATCTCTAGAACATATTCATCTACTAAAAATGAAATTTTATCTCCATTTCCCCCTACCTCCCATCCCCTGGCAACTACCATTCTATTTTCCACTTTGACTGTTTCAGATACCTCATATAAGTGAAATCACACAGTATCCTTTCGCACTGTTGTGGGGATGTAAAACGGTGCAGCTACCATGGGAAGAAATGTGGAGGCCCCTAAAAAATTTTTTAAAAAATTCTGATTATCATATGATCCAGCAATCTCACTTTTAGGCATATATCCAAAAGAACTGATATCAGGATCTGGAAGCAATATTTGTGCATCTGTGGTCATTGCAACATTATTCACAATGTTCAGGTCCTTTTATATGATGCCCTCATTGCAGCAATGTCTTCCTCCCAACACCATCTGACAAACTGCTATTTGTTTTTAAACCTCACTTTAACTGTCACCGCCCAGAGAAGACTTTCTAAAACCTTTGGGCAAATTTTATTACTTTTTGACAATGAATGCCTGAGGCTTATCCAGCTTTGATTCCAGAAACATCAGCCTGTCAGAATGGCTAATTTTCATGCATTTGTGAATGCTGGATGGCTAAATCCAGTGATTTTCAAAGTCTCGAACATCCTCTTTTTAAATGTAGAACCCATTTTCCAATAAAGCCACAAACAGAAACTCAACATGCAAAGTTCTTGAATATGGAACTTTTGGGGCAATACTGAGAGTCGCAAAAGTTCACTGAATGAAAAATGCGGGTTGGGAAGACTGCAGTCATCAGACCTTTGCTCACTCCTTACGTGTTCACAGAGGATCAAATGAATCCCTAGAGCTTGAAGTAATGCCATAGAAGAAAAACCACTAAAGTAGATAATCTGATGGTCAATTCTTAGTTAATGTACAAATAGAAAAAACACAGAGACCACTCCCAGGTAATATGTAAGTCTATCTAGAAAGAAATGCACTTTCTTGGCTGGGCACAGTGGCTCCCATCTGCAAACCCAGCACTTTGCTGGGATGAGGTGGGAAGATTGCTTCAGACCAGGAGTTAGAGGCCAGCTTGGCAACATAGTGAGACCCTGGCTCTACTATAAAACTTGTAAAAACAAACGAAAATACAGTAACGAAAAAAGAAATGCACTTTCTTAAGGTGTCATTTGGTAAGAAATGTTATGTGTCTGATTTTGCCCATGCACAATTTTGAATATAATAAAAAAGGTAGCTTCCCCTATTTAGAATATATAAAACAGTAACAACAAGATTGTATAACTCATGATTTTAAGATGATAATAGAAAGATTAGTTGAAAGTTTTTAATCCCACACTGTGGTATGAGAACTATTTTATTTATATATATATATACATATATATATATACACATATATAATTATATATATGTATATATAATTATACAATTAGGACTGAAAGTCTGCAACAAACTATAATGGATGTATGCACTTGGGACATAAGCTTCTAGTTCCTCTTTATTTATGAACCAAGAGAAACAGCTAACTCAGGGATTGTTTTTAAACTGACTACAGATTCCCACCATGGGGCAAAAATATGGGTGACATGACACATCACCAGCTGCAGTAGCTCAGCTCACATTTCTGTTTAAGCATTACACACATAATATCCTGTATGCTGATCATTTAAACTTACTGACGCTTGTAATCCCAGCACTTTGGGAGGCCGAGGGGGGTGAATCATGAGGTCAGGAAATTGAGACCATCCTGGACAACATGGTGAAATCGAAACAGTGTCTCTACTAAAAATACAAAAATTAGCTGGGTGTGGTGGTGTGCACCTGTAATCCCAGCTACTCGGGAGGCTGAGGCAGGAGAATCACTTGAACCCGGGAGGCAGAGGTTACAGTGAGCTGAGATCACGCCACTGCACTCCAGCCTGGGCATAAGACTGAGACTCCAAGTCAAAAAAAAAAATGCAGATTTCTTGGTACTAACCTAGGTTTATTACATCAGAGACTCTAAGGGCAAAGAGCCTGAGTCTCCATTTTAAAATAAATGTCCCTGAGAGTGACTGATCACTGGTTGGATTTCAGAGTTACTGATAGAGGCTACATTTGTATTTACCTGAGACTCCCTTGATATTTCTTACCTACTATCCTTTTCACTCAAATGGTGACCATGAGGCAATATTTTGAGCAAATAGTCATCCTTAAAGTTACCTTGAATAACTTCATGGTGACCACTGCCTATGTTTAAGACCAGACTTGGGTTTAACATCTCTCCAAATGCTAGAATCACTATTTCCACTATACTTCCGCTAGTCTCTGGTGATTCTTTGGATTGGACTTCAAATTCTCTTGCAGTGTAGAAAAGAATTACAGATGCTACCTCTCATGTGTACATAGAGCTGACATTTCAGTTTTTGAATTCCATCCTCCCCCCTCACTATTGCATGTGATCTGATGCTCTTGCTTGAACTTCTTGTGGTGTGCAGCTCTGCACCAAATAGCAATGAATTGGTACATAGTAATGCAGACACATGGAAAGTGGAATCACTGATTTTTTTTTTTTTTTTTTAAGATGGAGTTCTGCTCTTGTTGCCCAGGCTGGAGTACAATGGCACTCGCAATCATGGCTCACAGCAACCTCCGTCTCCTGGGTTCAAGCAATTTTCCTGCCTCAGCCTCCCGAGTAGCTGGGATTACAAGCATGCACCACCATGCCTGGATAATTTCACATTTTTAGTAGAGACGGGGTTTCTCCATGTTGGTCAGGCTGGTCCCAAATTCCCAACCCCAGGTGATCCACCTGCCTAGGCCTCCCAAAGTGCTGGGATTACAGGTGTGAGCCACCATGCTTGGCCAACTGACATTTATTTTAACAACATTAGTTGTGGTATTAAATAATGAAAGTAGCCCGTATTCTTTGCAGACATTTTGGGAAATATAGAAATGATTAGACCCATTTATAATTTCAACACAAGCAGTGGAATAGCTAATACCTTCATTTATGTTTTTTGTCTTACCCTGTACATGTTTTAGTGCCTGAATTTTTCACACTGAGTCACAAAAAGTTTTCCATATTATTTAACATTCTTCTATAGTATCATTTTCTGTAATTTGCTTTTTAATGGCCATATGATATTCCATTATGGGAATTTATTTAAACGTCTCCTCTCATTTCACATTTAGGTTTTTTCCAACCTTTTTCTATTAAAGAGAGTACTGACATTAACATCCTTCTCCATAAACCTTTTGTGCATATATATTATATAATATATTGTATACATTATTTATAATATAAATTTATTTTATATTTTAAAATATTTATTTTATAACATGGTTTACACATTATAAATGTATATTTATAATATTTATTTATTTATTTCTAGGATAAATTACTTGAAGCAGAATATCTGGAGGAAATAAAAGGTTTTGGGCTCAGCGCAGTACCTCATGCCTGTAATCCTAGCACTTTGGAAGGCTGAGGTGGGAGGATTACTTGGCCCAGGCTGCAGTGAGCCCTGACTGTGCTACTGCTACTGCACTACAGCCTAGATGACAGAGTGAGAACCTGCCTCAAAAAAAATGTTTTTGGCATTTTAAACTTAAAAAAAAAATATATATATATATATAGCCAAGTAACTCTCCAGAAAGATTGTACCAATTTACCTTTGATGCACAGAATAACATATTTAATTTTTATTTTGCTTCTCCATCACTAATATTATGATTAAAATATTAGTAATTACTTTAATTTTAATATCTTGAATTAGTAGTACAAGTAAGAGATTTAAAAATGTTTAATGACTATTTTACTATCTTCTGTGAATTGCCTATCCACGTCCTTTGCTCAATTTTCTTTTTTTTCTTGTTTTTTCTTCTCTTCTCTTTTTTTTGAGACAAGGTCTCGCTCTGTTCCCCAGGCTGGAGTACAGTGGCGTGATCTTGGTTCACTGCAACTTCTGCTTCCTGGGCTCAGGTGATTCTCCCACCTCAGCCTCCCAAATAGCTGGGACCACAGGCATGCACCACCATACCTAACTAATTTTTTTGTATTTTTTGTAGAGACTGGGTTTCGCCATGTTGCCCAAGCTGGTCTCAGACTCCTGGACTAAAGCGATCTGCCCTCCCTGACCTCCCAAAGTGCTGGGATTGTAAGCATGAGCCACTGCGCCTGGCCCTTTCCTCAATTTTCCATTAGCAAAGTCATCTTTTATATGAATTACTCATTTCATAATATGTAGGATAGCAATCAGAAACATGGTATTTTCCTCTATACAAATATTTTAATTTGTAAGTAATTACACTGGGAGTCATATACTTATGCAAATAATCTTAACTGGTACGGATATTCACCATCAGACACTTTCTTTTCTTCTCCCAGCCAAGATGTGATGAACAGGCAATACATCTTTTTGTTTGTTTTTTGATTCAATTATATTTATTTCTGCCCCAAACTTTTTATTTTGAACAGTTTATACTCTACAGAGAAATTGCAAGAATTTTAATAAATACCTCTCTGTCCTTCTCCTAGCTTCACCCTTTGTTTGTTGAAAGGAGATACTTTAGTGCAGTATTGCAACAGCTTATGTAGACATGCAACCTTGAGGTCACAGACCTATGAGGGATTGAGACAAAGGCAAATTTAGCAAATATTTTCCAGAGTACTCTGCTGCAATAACCACGTACCCACCTTCAGCAATGACCTGGTGAACAGGGAGACTACTGCTTAGTAACGGAGCAATTCTCAGCTCAAATCTGGCAGGTTCTAAGTTTTCTTGCCTCTGTGGTTTTGAATGGTTGCTCTTACTATGTGAAAATGGAAGACATCATGTCCTGTTCATGTTTAAGAATTAATTGAGATTTCCCCAGGGGCAAATACTTCACGATACTGCTTTCCTCAGTGATATTTAATGCACTTCCTGCCCTCATCCCCAATTAATTAAGCATTTTCCTCTATACAGGAGATTTATGAAGTACTTGGAATTCCATTAAAAAGAGGTAATATGTGACTTAAATGAATGCATAAATACATCAAATATAAGATATCTCAGAAATGGTTTCTGTGTGAATTTTGTTATCCACAAGCAACTTGTATTATTTTCATGGCTACAAGAAATTTCAATGTGGCTGCTTCCCAAGCTGTTTCCCAAGCAAGTAATAAATGTTGTATTACTTTATTTGAATATAACAAAGCTTTAATTTATGATTGCATGTGCTTACATTGACACCTTGGCATTTCCCTTCAGGCTTTTCTGGACATGAAAAAGATGAGTGAATTTGGCTGGATGGGTCTTTCTGTTCTGATTCACCAGCTGCACCCCAAGCATCAGCTAACTAACTTGGAAATATATTTTGTTTTGGTGGGGAATCTATGACAAAATATAATTAGATCAGTGATACCACTGGGCCAATAATGAAAAGCAAATGCTATGTACAATAGTGTCATGTTTATTTATGAAGTGTAGTATCATTATCCCAGAATGAATAATGAATGAGGCATGGAACTTAGGTGGTTAGAACCTGTAAGAACAATACTGTGGGCTTCATCCCCAGGTGTCCTCCTTATCATCACATTATTTCACCTCCTTAAATTACTATTTACTCACCTGAAAAATCAGTTCATAAAATGTTCTCACCTTCATTAAAAGAACACTAGTAATAATTGATTTCCATTAAAAGTATCCACATATTTGGGGGGAAACTTGTAATTCTTTATTCTAAAGAGTTTCCAGGAACTGAAAGTAAATACATAAACACAAGACTTGGATTAAAATGTAAATAATATCTTTTAATAAGAACCCAACAAGGCATCTTAACTTCATTATATTATGCATTCTGTAGAAAGTTCAAAAAAGATGATAAGTTCCTTGTTTTGTTTTGTTTGAGATGGAGTTTCACGCTGTTGCCCAGGTTTGAGGGCAGTGGCACAATCACGGCTCACTGCAACCTCAAACGTGATCTCCTGGGCTCAGGTGATCCTCCCACCTCAGCTTCCCGAGTAGCTGGGATCATAAGTATGCAACACCACATGCAGCCTATTTATTTATTTATTTTTTATTTATTTATTTATTTATTTAGTAGAGACAGCATCTCACTATGTTGCCCAGGCTGGTCTTGCACTCCTGGTCTCAAGCTATCCTTCTTCCATAGCCTCCCAAAGTGCTGGGATTACAGGCATGAGACACCGTGACTGGTCCCAAAAGTTCCTTTTTAACTGTTAGATTCCTTAGCTCACAAAAATTTGTTGAGTCATTATTATGTGTCAGACCTTGTGTTAAGTACTAGATATCAAATACAGTTCCTACACCTAAGAAAAGAATAACATATACTATGGTATACCAAAGGAGAACATCAAAGACAGCTTCAGGCTAAAGGATGGAGATAGATATACCTGGAAGTAAAATTAAAATCTAGCCAGATGTTTTTTCTATTCCTGACTCAGGATTAAAAACCCCACTTCAACACTTTTCTCTCTAGCAGAAATATTTAAAACCATGTCTTTTCCTGGCAAGATTTTCACATTCATATCTGTTTTGTTCATTAATCCATTCATTCAACTAAGGACTAATTTGAAATGGATAGCCTGAATAGAACTTGCATGTTAATGGAGGGATACCATCTTATATAAGTAAGGGAGCAAAAGTTAAGGAAAGAGGAAACAATAATATTTTAATGTAAATGTAAAATAATTAAGTTTTAAAATTTATTATTTATAAGAAAGTATTCTAAATAAGACGAAAAATAAATCTTGAAAATCAAGGGATATATAAAACTTAAGAAAAGGGAAAACAATGGTAAAATAAAATCATGTTTAAAAATTCATCTGTTATTTTGGGAAAGTCTTCCAAACAAAGTGACAAAAAGTATGTTGAAAATGAAATGACATGTCAAGATATGTAGGCAAATTCAAAGAAAAGAAAATCAAAAGTGATGACAATGTTGCTATTTCACCAGAAGGAATTTAATTCCAAAAGGAGAAATGGAAAAAAAAAGAGAAACATTATGTAATGATAGAAAGTACAATTTGTGAAGAAGATATAACAGTCATAAACTTTCATGCACTGTATAAGGAAGGAGCCAACCTTATGAAACAGAATTCCTAAAATGCAGAGACCACACACATGCACAGAACCACAGAGTGAGGTCTTTTTATACACACACACACAAAAACATGATGAAAATCTCATAACTATAATCCCAGTGCTTTGGGAGGCCAAGGCAAGAGGCCAGGAGTTTGAGCCTCCAGTGAGCTATGATTGCACCACTGCACTCTTCCACCCTAGGTAACAACAGAGTGAGACTCTGTCTCTTACAAAAAGATACATAAAAAGGAAAAGATATAGGATATTTAAATAACACCATCAATAGGCTTGGTAATATGGAATATTATAACATATGGGTGTGATAATATACATTCTTTTCACCTATGAAACATTTGCAAAAGTTAACGCAACTTGTTCACAAAGAAAACCTTAAAAATTCTATACTTTGGGAGACAGAGACAGGAGGATTGCTTGAGGCCAGGAGTTCAAGATCAGCCTGGGCAACATAGCAAGACTCTGTCTCTACAAAAAATGAAAAAATTAGCTGGACGAGGTGGTGTGTGACTGTAGTCCCAGCTCCTCAGGAGGCTGAGATGGGAGAATTGCTTGAGCCCAGGAGGTAGAGGCTGTAATGAGCCATGATTGTACCACTGCAATAAAATTAATTAATCAATTAATTAAGAAAATCTAAAATGCTTAGAATGAAACAGTTGGTTAAATTAACAAAATTTATAAAATACTTGAAAACTAATGATTGAAAGATGACTCACTCTAACCCCCTGAAAAAATAACAAATTGGGTTTTAAGACGAGAAAACTGGAAATTAAGAAAAACTTCTCTAAGTAGTCCCAGAACAACAAAATAAATAAAAATTAAAAGTACAATTTTACAGACTAAAAAAAAAAGGAAAAAAAATGGGGAATAGGATGGAGACTACGTCTTCCAAACTCTGTACTTGAAATGTGAGCAAGGAGGTGTAAGCACAGGAGAGAGTTTAGATATAGATCCCAAGAAAATCTTATAGAAAAAAGTTGGCATTTTAATTCTATGGACAACGAATGCTTTCTTTATTAAAGGATCCCAGTATAACTGGCTACCCATTCACAAGAAGATAAAAGTAGATTTTCTTCATGACATATTAAAATAAATTCTAGGTTAAATATATACATGCAAAAGAAAAAACAGGAAAAATAAAAAACATTTAAAAATTTAAGGAAGTATTTGAAATACTGTATAATCTTAGAATGGGGAAACATTTTGTGTAGGACAGGATGCACCATATAAATGAGCTCTGTCCCAAAGGAGTTCATAACCTAGTGCCACAAATAATATAAATATGTTAGAGGTAGGGATAGAATATGCTATTTTTGAGATAAGAACAAAAACAGTGAGGACCTAGAGGACAATTCAATTCATTCTATGATGGGCACTGGGGAAGGGTTCACAGAAGCAGCATTGAGCTGTTTTTAAAGGAGTGAATGGGTGTCTTCTAGGTAGTTTGTGAAAAGGCCCCAAATCATTAAAGGACCTGGTATTTCAGTGCCAGTGAGAAATTCAGTGTAACTAATGTGTAGAATGAATGATTGCAGAGGTTGAAAATGGACCAATTTTTGAAAGAGTTTATATTCCAAGCTAAGAAGTTTTAACTTAATCTTAATGTCTGCCTCCTGCTTAAGGCCACTGATTGTAGTTGAAGCTATGGTGATTGTCAGATCAATCAAGGAGAAAGAGAAGAGCGAGAAAATGTTTGGCCAAGACTGGTAATTGCAGACTTCCTTATCTATTCTCCCTCTTTTCCTTATTAGCAGAATCCTGATTTTAGTTAGGATAGTCTTGTACCCAAGCTAATAGTCAACTTGACTCAGCTTCTCCTGCAACTGAGCTTATCTATGTGACTAAGTTGTGGCTAATATAAGCAGAAGTGCTGTTTAGAACACTCAAGAAAGTTCCTTAAAAGGAGAAGGTACTCCTTTGCCCTTCTTTCTTTTCTCCTTCTTCCAGATTGCCAGAGGACATGATATTTGGATTACAAGTTGAACCAAGGGATAGAAGTCTTTTATTAAAATGACGGCTTTCTGAAGACTATGTGGACATACTCCTACATAGGCTTTTTTGTGAGCAGGAAATGAATTTCTGCCTTGTTGAAGTCAGATGTACCAAACCTAATCCCAAATGATAAAGATGAGTACCAATGTAAATGCAATGAGAAACCCCTACATTTAAGAAGTGGTCAGAGAAGAAATTACCAGTTAAAAACACTGAAAAGAGTAAGACGGGAAGAAATGGTATAGAAACCAAGACAAAAGGACAGGCCCAAGAGGCAGGATAAGGGCAAAATAAGTAGCAGATGTTTAAAAGAGAGAAGTAGAAAGAGGCTTGAATGCAGCACATTTAATTTACAATTGCAAAGTTGTGTTGATTTGAGATCAATTTCAAGAGTGTGGTAATTGCATGAAAACCAAGTTGAAATGGGCTTCTGAGTGAATAAGAGTCAGGGAGCTAAATTAATATTTAATTTCAGAAAAAATGAAATAATTTCAGAAAAAATTTCACCTAAAGATAAGGTGAAATGGAAAATAGATGTTTCATGTCTTTTCTGACAACCAAATTGTATCTCCAATTCTCATGATCCTGCTAATATTGGCTACCATTTATTAAATTAAAAGAGGTTTATCTAATCCTTTGATAAACTCAAAATCTTCTGAATAACTAGAAATGAATGGCCCTTCCCGTTCATAATCACTTTCATTCCAGGAACCATTTATATTCCTACATAGTATGCTATTCTGGAAAACAAAATATTTTCTAGTCTCAACTCAAATTCTGTCAAGGCAATACGTGTGAGTGTAAGTAGAGTGGGGATAGAGATAGCATGAAGTTCTGATGTCTGAAAGAAGTGAAGCTTCATTTGATTCTGAAGAAGTTCTTGTCCAAGTATCCAACCATTTGAAGGTATAGCGTTTAGTTTGTATCAGAGATTTACAATTCCCCATAAAGAAATGCAAGAACTCTGGGGTTCATCTGTGATGCATTTGCAAGGTTATTTCCCCTTTGATCCCCAGGCTCTGGCCCCTAGCTGTAGCCTCTTTTTCCTCCTCCCTCTCTTCTCCTCTCCTTCCCTCCCTCTCTCCTTCCTTCTTTGAGGGATAATGCAGTTATATCAGAATAGAAGCTATGTAAGAAAGGGTGGTATACTGGATTGCTTGGGATATTTTAATACATATTCAAGAGAAAATGACAAATATATCTTAATAGAAAAGGATACAAATTAAAAATCAGAAGGCAAGACCACCAGGATTAAAGATGCAACTTAGATCAAATATTGACCAAAGTAAATGGGTTGAATTTTGAATATAGCATAGATCATACTTAGTGAGAGGCTTTCGAACTAACGACTTACATTTAATAATAATTAGCATGTCACAGAATATAGTTTATGATTATTAGAAAAATGAAGTTAAATCAATACTTGGGAGATTGTTTATTAATGTGTGAATTATGTCTTTTTTTAATATTCATAAATAGTTTTAAAATTTTAAATGTGTTTTAGAAAGAAATTGGTTACTCCTTGGGAAAAAAATAAGTGTGCATTACAACGTCTAGTGGAAGAGTTTAAAGGATAGATTTTCATTTATATTTAGGAAAGAATGTTTCTCTTGCCTTCCTGGATTTGCTCCATAGCAAAAGACATAAATACATATTGTAATTATAAATTGTGCATTGTAATTATAAGTTGTAAATTCTACTACAAAGGTCAGCTATGGTTAGATTCAGTGAGTTTTACCTTAAAATATTGGCTTAAAACAATTCAAATCAAATGGATAAAACAACTTTTTGCTTTCCAATGGCATTATGATTTTGGGTGGTATGGGAAGAGAAGTTCTCAAACCAATAGTCTTCAAGGTTGCAGAGAGAAGCTTCTGTCTGCCACTTTCCTGATGTACTGAATGGCCCTTGGTATATCTTTATAAAAATGTTAAAACCCACAGAGCTATTTAAAGATAAAAAAAACCTTACATAACTTTATTTTTCAAAGACTAATATGTCTCAGGTACATTTAGCTACAGTACAAAGGATAAGAAAATAGCACCTAGGAATTTTTTAGGTTGTAGAGAATCTCAACTGCTTTACCTTTTGTATTTTCTCTCCACTTCTCTAGCAAAGAAGACAGAGTGCTCCCATTCCCACTTCTTCAGCCTATTGGGTCACAAGGGGCCTAATTTTCATGCGAACAGCCCTGAGGGAATAATCTGCCCCTCTAAAGGAAACCCAGACCACTCCATTCTCAATCTCATAAGGACTGTTATTCCTTGGGTCATAGGAGCCCCCAGGGTAGTAGATTCCATTGAGATTGGCTGCTTGGCAGTTATTATACCACCAGCCTCCCCCATAGACTTCTGCACAGTTCTCTTCCCACTGGTCTGCATCCCTGTCAAAGGTGCTGAACTGCATGTTGTTGTGAGAGGTGTACTCTGCCCCTTCCTCTACGGAACCCTCAATCAGAGCATCACCCGCAGTGCCTTCATAGGAGGAGACTTGGAGGGCATAGCCTTCAGCCTCAGAGCCTACCCGGAAGTGATATTCTGCATAAGCTTCATTCCCAGCCCAGTCCTCTAATTCAACCCTAAGAACAGAGCCCCTTTGGGTTAGTAAGTGGAGGTAGTCATTGCCTAGCCAGAATTCTCCTTCCCCCTCGTCATTCAGGCTGCCGAAACCTCTCTTGTAGTCTTGCCAGGTCCGGTTAAAATTCAGTGATCCATCCATTCTTTGCTGGATCAAAAGCCATCCTCCCAAACTGGTCTCTTGATCGCAATAAACAGAAAAAATCTTACTGGATCCCGGTAGCTTGATATTGAAAATGCCACTTTGGGTACCTGAAGGATGTGTTTGGAGGACATCATCACAGTCTAAAAAAAAAATTAAGCTGGTTGGAAGAAGTTATTCTCATTTAACTTTACAAAGATAGGCACGGCTCAGATTAAATAAGGCAAATACTGTTTCTTTCCCTTCCTTTCTTTCTTCCTCCTTTCCTTCCCTCCATAGGGAAAGGATGCACTTACAGTGGGATAGAACTTATGCAAATAAGCGGTTATTTATACCTACAAATTGCAAAGGGGATTTTCCTCAAATGTATTTGGAATTTTACTTGCACAAACTAATAGCAAGTAACCAGTACAGGTAGCTAAGCATCACTTAATACTAACACAACTTGTATTTAGCCTGACCTAAATGTCAACTGAGACACATACTAAAAATGTGATTAATCAGTTGGGTGACAATTCTAATAGCACACACTTTGAATAGTGAAAGAATTTGACTAAATAAGCTCAAATAGAGTTTCAGAGGAATTCATTCATCCATTTAACATGTATTTATTGAGTCATGGCTCTGTACTGTTAGGCATTTGGGAATACAGAGATGAGACAGACAAAGGCCCTGCCCCCAAGGAACTTACAGTCTAGCACAAAAACAGACCAAAAAAGTGTAGTTTCAATGACGTGTAACAGAGAGTTAAGAAGGAAATGCAAGGGGCCATGGGAACACTGTGCAGAAATATTTAACTTAGTCTAGGGGGACAGGGAAGGCTTCCCCAAAGGAGAAGTGTGGATACCTCTGACAGGGCGAGATTTAGCATGGCCTCTCTTGGTGCTATGTGTTCCTTCATGATCGGCTTCACTTCCGGCCTCATCTGCCATTTTATAGCTCTTGCTTTCAAATGTGGAGTCTCCTCTGTTGTAACTCGTGCTACTAGTAAATTGTTTGCTGTAACTTGAAGATTTACCACGGGAAGGGAATTCAGCTATCCCAGGGTGATGAGAACTGGATTCCTTTGTATTTGTGAAGATGCCAGATTCTGAGCCCCTAGACTCAGTCTCACTGACAAACTCTCCTAACATAGGTGAGAAGAAACCTGGGAATGTTTTTCCAGTTGAGGCAGTGTCGAAGAAGGCAGCTTCATCAGGGTGCCTATGGCGGAACCCATCCAGAGTACCTATGCCAGACAATGTGCCTAAATCCATTGCCTCGGGACAGTCAGAACCATCTTCGGAGGTCACCACTTCTTTGGTAACTTCTTTGTGACCATCAGGACCAATAACAGTCTTAGTAACGGTTTTAGAGCATGAACGACGCGTGGTGGTTGTGCTACCAGAGGTGACCTTCTCTTTACCAGTCCTGAGCTCTTTATCTCCTTTAGAAGTGACCAGTTTTTCTGTGTGGTACTCTCTCCTTGTCCCTGGACTTACATTTCCTGACACCTCTTCAAATGTGCCCCAGTCTGGGTTGTTAGGCCTCGCGTTCCCAGAGCCTGGGCTATCTGGCCTAAAACTTCCAGATTCAGAGTGCCATTGTCCAGTACTACCAGATACAGAGCTCTCAGAGGTCCAGTGCCCAGCACTTCCGCGTTCAGAGCTGCCAGGATTCCAGGTTCCGGTACTACCAGGTCTAGGGCTCCCAGGGTTTTGGTTTCCAGTACTTCCAGTTCCAGAGCTCCCAGAGTTCCAGCTTCCAGTACTTCCAGGTCCAGAGCTCCCAGGTTTCCAGGTTGCAGTCCCTCCAGTCCCAGAGCTCCCAGGGTTTCGGTTTCCAGTACTTCCAGGTCCAGAGCTCCCAGAGTTCCAGCTTCCAGCACTGCTAGGGTTCCTGGGGCTTTCCGTCTCTGATCCGGTTCCATAAGAGGTGGAGCCTCCTCGAGTAATCTCATTTCCACCAGGTCTCTCTAACTCCATTCTCATCTGCGGCATGTCTGTTAATGCCTTCCACTCTGGGGGTACCTTCTGAAGCTGGCTCTTAAAATTTCCGGGAACCAAGTCTGGAACTGGTTTCATTTTTATCAGTGGTAAGTGTTGCCTATCTCTAGAGGGAAGTAAGTCTTTGGCAATGACCTGTTCAAGTTGCTTCTGCTGATCTTCATAGTCCTTCAGATCTACTTCACGAGCTAAAGCCCTACTGCATGACCCTCGACAAGATCGGATCTTAATATCAATGTCCACCTAGAGAGAGGGGAGAAAAATAAAGAGAAAATGTAGATACAAATACATAAACTACGTCTATTGAGTTCCTGGTAGTTAATTTTCCTTCTGGAAACTGGTTTCATTTTTTTTGACTCGGAGACCTACCACTTAATATTCTCTGTTTTCTGCCTATCGAGCACCCTCAGTGGAAGAGATGTTGGGTATTGCAGGGCTAGCCAGGATAAGCAATGGATGCTGTTTAATTCATCTTAGCCTCAGAATGGATCAAGAGTAAGGTGCTATTCCCTCTCAAAGGAAACGCTAATTAAATGATCCTTGGTGAAACTCAGGCTGAGGGCTCAGAGGTGTGGTGATGTAATGGGCTTTGGAATTAGACAGGGACTGAACATTTGCTTTTGAAATTTACTATCTATGTACCGTTGGAAAATTTACTTAATATCTCTGAATTTTTTTTCTTCAACTGTGGAGTGAGGAAAATAATACCTACTTTTAGGTAGATGATGGATATAACACTTTTCTCTGCATATAGTAGACACTCAGTGCATAACTATCGCCTTCCTTTTCCCTCTACTCAGAAACAAGGACATCTGGGACCACAGCCACATACTTACCTCCAGTCGTTTCATATCAACCAACTGAGCTCTAACATTTTTCTGCAGAAGCTGGATATGCTGTACTTTTTCTATGACTTTGCGCTTCAGGACTTCAATTCTGCTTCTCAGATCCTCTGACACTCGGTTGTAGGTATTATCACGGTCTGAAATCGAAAATATGGTTATTGAAGTAGCTGCTGAGTGATTTGTCTGTAATTGCCAGCAAAAAAGAAAGGAAGAAAGGAAGGAAGGAGAAAGAAAGAAAGAAAGAAAGAAAGAAAGAAAGAAAGAAAGAAAGAAAGAAAGAAAGAGAAAAAAGAAAGAAAGAAACTAGCTTGTAAATATGCCTAATTTTATTTTGGTTACAGTTTAATCTGTGAGTTCAAAACCTATGGGGCATTTGACTTTTGGATAATGTTATGCCCTGCAGCCTTCCATGAATGCCAGTTAAGATGTCCTAATAGCAATTAGTAATCCCAAAGAAATATAGAAGAAGAACTTTCTTTGGAATTTTAAAGGTGTAATTTGGAGTTAAAATAGTTGGTTTGATTGCATTTCAATTATTTTATAACATCCTTAATCAAGGGACTTGAACATATTGGATTTTCTTACTGATGAGCTTTTCTTTTTAATCTATAGATTTGAAATGGTTCCTAAGCTGTTTTGGGTCAACAGGATCACTCACTTGCCAGCTAGTGTTGCATCACTGATTTTAAATGTCAAGTGTTTGTGAAGGTGTAAAAAGGCAAAGCAAAACTTGAGAAACTGAGGACTCCCTAGACTCGCTGTCCATGCCCAGAGTGAATGCAATGTTTCCTAACCCTAATGAGTAGACTGTGAGAATGACGTAGCTTGACCCTATATTTTAAATTTAAAAATCTACCTAATCAGCTCAGTGGAGTCTGGGAGTTGAATTCCCAGCTCTGTGTCTTTGAACAAGTTCCTTGACCTCTCAGTTTTCACCTTTACAAAGCAGAAACAAAAATATCAACTCAAAGAGTCTGACCCATCCTACTTTCAGTATATACTGTTGAAAAGAACACATTTAAATTCTTGTTTTTAATCCAAAATTCTGACTTATTTTGTGACCTTAAACAATCTCAGTTAACATCTTTTACTTTGAAAAAATAACGAAAACAAAAGCTCCCTCTTAAAATTTTCAGGGATATTATGAAGGTATGTGTTTCTACACTAAGTACTTTGGGATGAAATTGTCATAGATATAAGCGGATATCATATTTATTTAGGATTTTTGTTGTTTCTGTTATAAAGTCAAAGCAGTAAATATGTAATACTTACTATTGGCTGAGGAAAAATCGCCTCTCAAAATTTCCATTATATTAGTGGTCAACGAATGAGAATCCTTATTGTTCTTCTGATATTCAAATAGTGAATTTTTGAGCTTATTTATTCTGTTTGTAAAATCTTGATTGACTTCATCAATCAACCCTTTCATCCTGCAGCCAGAAGGGCATTTGTAGTTCTGAAAGTGAAGGGAGAAAATTACAGTAAGGATCTATCTCTCAGATTCAGAATAATTTTGCATGTTTCCATGCAGCCCCCATTTCTTCCTACCCTATCTCTTCCAGATAAGTTGGCTTAAAAGTAGGTAAGAGGACTAGTTAGAGGTCGCAGAGAAACTCTGGAATGAGGGTCCACTTAGCCATAAATTAGGTGCCAGGAAATTGAGGCCACAATACTCAGGAGCCTGGTTTTGCCTGAGCATGCAACTGAAATCCTGTCTGTTCACCCACTAATGATCCAGAGTTGGGGAGGTAAATAAACAGTGCTCTTGGGAGTAGGTTCCTTTTCTTTATTTGCTATGTAGGTAACTATTCAATTATTTTCTATTTAAAAAAGTTTCTGGGACCAATCAGGTCAGCCTGTGAGCCCCTCTAGCATCAGAGGGAAGGAATCTCCTGCTTCCCCCGCTGACTGCTTACCCAGTCTTCATCAGAGCAGAAGGGCCAGTCTGAATCTTTGCAGGCAGATTGATGTCTTTCCACAACCCTTGGGCCACGCACGCCTCCTCCTTCAGCTAGAAAGTCACCTTCACCACTATCTGCAGTCTTTAAAGATTCATTCACATACACAAAAGAGAGCAACAGCAATGTTAGCCAGAAGAGGAGACAGTGGCATGCCTACAAGTCCCCAGGAAGAGATGGCACTCTCACAGAGATTAAGGAGAGCAGACACAGGGCTTCGGCAAGCTTCAGGTTTCTTATCTTCAAATGGAAATCCTAGGACCCATTTTATGGAGTTGTTATGAGAATTAAAGGAGACAAGGTGTACAAATTTCTTAACTGTGTGTGACACTTAAATAAGCATTTGATAAATATTAGGAGTTTTAAAGAATCCATCCTAAAAGGAAAATTATTTGAATCTATAAAATCAGTTAAATTTTACCTTTTCATTTTTACTAATGACTGCAGACAGAAAGTTGAAAACTACTGTAGAGCTCTTTCTCCTGTAATTGCTGCTTCAGTAGAAAAACCTAGACTATCTTAACTGAATGTTCCTCTCTCCTTCAAGTTTCTATGTAACCTTTAGAGATGGATTCATAATTTAAAAGAATACCATTACTGCGGAAAAGCGTATTGCCTTACTAACTAATCTCTTCTGATACTGCAAAGATATTTCCAAAGATAATTCGTTTGCTTTTTCTTCTGTCTTGACAAACACAACAATAACCTTTCAGCAAAACTGTACTAACACTAAAAGTTCTGCTTATTATGGACAAGTAGCAAGAAATTAATAACTAAAGAAAACAAATCTTACCATAAAATGTTTTATTCCATTAACTAGCATTATAATGCACCAAGGCTTTATAGGTACAAGGATGGCAAATAATTCTTGCCCTTTTTAAAACAAAACAAAACAAAATGTGGTAAGACTGAATGACAGATGCTAAAGTTTCCCTTGTGAGTTTGTACACTCTCATCCATCTAAGATCTTCCTCTTGGTGTCATATTACCCTGTATTCTTGAGGTGTCAAGCCCACCCAGGAAATTTCCTCCCAGGCCTGGGGTCATAAAGCTAAGAGTGTGTCAGGACATAGAGCAGGTAGACTCTGACCTCCAGGCTCTTTGTGGAATAAACACCAGAGAGAAAGCAAGAAGAAAAAATGAAAAGGGCCATACCCATGCTGTGCCCACCACACTTAGGACCAGGCAGACGATCCTCATGGAAAACATCTTTTCTAAGGGTGGGGCTGGCTCCTGAGGAGCACTCCAGCTGAAAGAAAGGATTGCTGCCACTCCTAGTTCCCATCCTATTTAAATCTGCAAGAGGTTTGGTTAATCATTGGCTTTGTCCTGTGTAGACAGTCAACCCTCCCTCTACGTCCTTTGTTCCTCCTATGCTGTTGGTATCCCAGAAATTCTTGCTCAATTCCCCTCAGCTTGTTTGCTTCCGATAAGCTGTTGCAAAGGTAGCATTTGATTCTCCAGTCAACAATTAGGAGATCTCACATTCCAGGAACAGGGTGGCTTTGAGAATGAAAAGAGGAGCATAGGAGGGTATATCCATATTTCTAAACGTGAAAGAATATAGAAGGTGCTTAGGTAAGCTAGCTGTAGCCCCCAGTAGTAGTGATTTAGCAAACAATATTTCACTTTATGCAGAAATTAGGGTTGGGTGATCTGGCTTATAAAAAAAATAACTTTGGGGATAAGCTGGCCCTGAAGGCTTTCTATAAGTTTATTTAGAACATATTACTTTTCTCTATTTAAAATATTAAGATGACAGCAGCCCCAGGAACAAAACATCTTGGGTTCATAATCCAAGCTGCACCACTTCCCTGCTCTATGTTCTTGGACAAGTTACTTTACCTCTTTATACTTCAGTTTCCTCATTTATAAAATAAGGATGCTGATAAGCTACCCCATGCTTTTATGAAGAATAAATGAGTTAATTCTTGTAAATCTCTCAGAACAGTGACTGTCACATAGGAAATACTCAGTGAATTATGGGAGATCATAAAGTGCCATGAAAAATACCATTTATTTCCTGTTTCTGTGCTAGCAATCTCATTTCTGAGTGTATTTCCAAAGGAAATGAAATCAGGATCTTGAAGAGACACCTGCATTCCCATGTTCATTGTAGCTATATTGACAATAGCCGAGATATGAAAACAACCTGTTTCCACTGATGGATGAGTAGATAAAGAAAATGTGTATATATATATATACACAATGGAGTATTACTCAGCCTTGAAAAAGAAGGAAATTCTGTCATTTGCAGTAACATTGATGAACCTAGAGGGCATTATCCTAAGTGAAATGAGCAGATATAGACAGACAAATACTGCTTAGCTGGTCGTGGTGACAGGCACCTGTAATCCCAGCTACTCAGGAGGCTGAGGCAGGGAGAATCACTTGAACGCGGGAGGTGGAGGAGGTTGCAGTGAGCCGAGATTGCATCATTGCACTCCAGCCTGGGCCACAGAGTGAGACTCCTTCTCAAAAAAAAAAAAAAAAACGGAAAAGAAAGACAAATACTGTATGATCTTTCTTACATGTGAAATCTAAAATAGTCAAACTCACGGAAGAAAAGTGTAGAATGGTGGTGGCCAGGGCCTGAGGCATAGGAGAAATGGGGGAGATGTTGGTTAGAGGGCACAAAGTTTGAGCTATGCAATATAAATAAGTTCTGGAGTCCAATGTGCAGCATGGTGACTATAGTTGATAATATTATGCTGTATATTTGAAATTTGCTAAAAAGGTAGATCTTAAGTCTTCTCACCACACAAAAAGATAACTATATGAGGTGTTTTAAGTGCTAATTAGATTAATAGTGGTAATCATTTCACAATGTTTATGTGTATCAAAACACCAATCAGAGAGAAGTTCCCCTTTAAAGGAAAATAAAAAAACAAACATCCAGCTGTACAACCTAAATTATGCAATTTTTATTTGTCAATTATACTTCAATAAAGGTAAAAAACATCTTCAGCTTACATTTACCAGATGTATTAGGTTGGCGGAAATAGCAAATAAAAATAAGAGTGTCCCAGTTAAATTTGAATTTCAGATAAACAACAAATCTATTTGAGTATAAGTATGTCTCATGTGATATTTGAGACACACTTAAAATTTTTTTGTTGTTCATCTGAAATTCAAACTTTACTGGACATCCTGTACTTTATCTGGCAATCCTACCTTGCCTCAAATTCTGCTTCCTACATGAAGCCAATCCTAATAGAGTAATAGCTAATGTGTATTGAATGTTTACTAAGTCTTGGGTTCTTTGCTAGACATTTTGCAGGGTACCTGATTCAATGTCCAATTAAAAGGAATCTCATGTTCTTTCATACTTCCTTAGACTGTGCACCACTAATGGCATTTATCATTATAGGAGTACCGTCTGTCTCCTCCACTAGATCATAAACTTGAGAATTGAAATGTTTTATTGGTCTTTATATTCTCCCCAAAAGGTGTGGGCCCTCATTGAGCAAGAAAGCATAAGTGGGTTCCAGAGATGCGAAGTTGCCTGGCTGCCTCCCCCAGCACTGCAGACGTGTGAAGCTTTCTATAAATGGATGGAAGCCCTGGTGCAAGGCAGTGCACTGTCTGCTCTATGGAAGACTCCTTGTCTGATCAAGCTCACCCCTGAAGCAGCTTGCTATGATTTTAGAGTTAACTGCAGAGCAAAGAGGAAGCCCCAGAGCCCCATCCAGGTTCCAGAGGGCAATGATTCCATGAAAAGCTGGGTTACACTCACTCACAATGACTGCACTGGCAAAATGTCAGGATTAGATAGGAAGGTGAGGCTTGATCTCTGCACACATTTTCCTATGCCCACAAGAAGTGCCCCTTTGGGAGGTGAACATGGTATATAGCAAAGAAGTTCCCGAGAGTAACCTGGTAGGCCTTAGGTGAGTCGGCTGAACATAATCTGATTGAAGGTAAATTAACAGAAAACAATTTGGTTGAATGCCACCACCCTAGTGCCATGTCAGGGTGTTTCCAAGGATGCCACCTGAGGGCTTTATCCTTGCCTCTCAGAATCAGCACATCTCACACCCTTTCTTACTCCTGGCCTCTGCTCACATGGCATCTACTCAGAGAGGCCTTCTCTGGCCACCTGATCTAAAGAGCTGCCACTCTCGCATGTCATTCCATTGACTCTGCTTGGTTTTTCCACGCAGTACCTTATAACTCCTGGACAATGTGCATTTGGGAAGGTATTTGTTTATTCTGTGTCTTGCCTACACAAAGCTTCCTGAGGCCAAGGCACAAGGACTGGCACAAATGTCAGGCATAGAGCAATTGCTGCTCAGTATCTGCTGGAGAAATGGAAGGCTGTCACCATATGGTGGTGACAATGCATGGTGGGCTTTCCAGCATGTGAGACCTGGATTCCAGCTAAGTGACATGGGCAAACTATTTAAATTCTCTGAGCTATAAATGGGATGATGATATTTGTCTTACAGGATTGCTGTGAAGATTATGTAAAATGGTGTATGTAAAATGTTGGCCATACACAGCAGGAGCTCTAGAAACAGTAGCTTTTATTGTTCCTAGAATATCCCAATGCTCCATGATAAAATGTTCCCTTGTTTTGACTGTAGTACCAGGAGTCCCTAATGAGGCACTTCTGTAGCTCACTGTTTGGCCCCACACTGCAGGCTGCTCACTAGGCTGGGCTCTCTGCCCCATGAACAGGCTGTATTGTAAGCTTTGGAGGAGTAGGTTTTGTTTAGCTGGAAAACCATGCAAATTAATAGGCATGATACGAGTATCATTTTTTAAAAAGCATGTGACAATAAGCGTATCTTTAAATGTGCAAAACTGGAAAAAAGATGGAAGAAATTTTCAGTTGCTTAAATTATAATCTGCCGTGCATTGGCTTTTTCTTTTTGAGATGGAGTCTCACTCTGCCACCCAGGCTGGAGTGCAACAGCGCCATCTCAGCTTACTGCAACCTCTGCCTCCCGGGTTCAAGCGATTTTCCTGCCTCAGCCTCCTGAGTAGCTGGGATTACAGGTGCCCACCACCATGACTGGCTAATTTTTTGTATTTTTAGTAGAGATAGGGTTTCCCCATGTTGACCAGGCTGGTCTTGAACTCCTGACCTGAGGTGCTCCACCCACTTCAGCCTCCCAAAGTGCTGGGATTACAGGCATGAGCTACTGCACCAGGTTTGTCTTTTTCCTATAGATAACTACATCCTATTTACCTTAGCTCTAATGAGAAGGATGTTTGATATATCTATCCTTTTGAAGTTAATGTAATATAAACATTTAAATATAAATGTTAATATAAACATTTGAATGCAGGAATTTACACATTTGTTATGCCATAACTTTTGGCATGACTAGAATAGTTTTTACTAGTTTTAATAGCTTTATTTGTGTGGTATATAATGTATACAGAAAGAGTAGAAATTCTATAGCTATATGTTTCAGTTTTAAACTATATCTACTCATCACAGCTTCCACAGGAAAAGTAAAATATATAACCAGTTATCTATATATTTGCAATTGTATAAATACAACTTAAAAATACAAAACAAAACAACAGTGTTATTTTGAATGGAATATTTGTCTTACCCTGGGCTGACACCAGAAATTAAATGCATTGATTTCTGAGAGCAGCTCACTCATTCACTCATTTGTCTAAATTTAGCAATCATTTATCCTATGTATATTATTTCTCTAGTCCTGCATACTATGTGCTTAAGATAAAAAGGCAAACAATGTATAGTCTTTTACCTTCAAGTTGCTTACAATTGGCAAGCAAGTCAAATACGTTATGCAGCTGAGAATTAAGTTAAACTATGTAAACTTGACATTTTTGTAGGTCAAAACAATAATATCTACAGTTTTATACGGTTTAATCTAATATAAAACAATGGAAAAAATCTGTAAGCTATATGCTGAGTTCTGTTAGAACACACAGCAGAGAGTGTTATATCACTTACGTATTGCTTTTTGTTTTGTTTGTGTGAGATATTTCTTAAAAAGTCAGATTTAATTCAGGTCTCAAAATACAAGATGTTTCTGAAAAATTCTTATGTCATCTATCATAAAAATCTACATGAATCTGTACATTCTTTCCAAAGACATTTGGTATCCTAATAACAAGAAGATAATAGTACTTTGACAGGAACTATTTTGTTAAAACAATATTAAGTGCATTCTTGGAAAGTACTAAAATTATCTTCTAAATTTTGAAATGACTAAATTATAAAAATTTACAAGATTTTGGCATTTATAAATACAGTCTGATCTGTAATGAATTCACTGGACAACATTGGCAAAGCTATTTAACTTTCTGTAGTTTTTTTATTTTTCTTTTTTTTTTTTTTTTTTTTTTTTAGAGACAGGGTCTTGCTCTGTTGCCCAAGCTGGAGTGTAGTGGCACAATCATGGCTTACTGCAGCCTGAACTCCTTGGGCTCAAGGGATCATCTCACCTCAGCTGCCTGAGTAGCTGGGATTACCAGCTTGTGTATCTTATTTTCTCTATTTGTCTTGTGCACCTCAAGGGTATTGCAAAAGTTTGTCTTTACCAAGCTGCTTACTGTGAAAGGTAAATGAACTGGTAGGATGACCTATGTAAGTGTGACTAATGGAGTGTTTAATGTTTATTTTCAGAACTCATCAATTTTCTGACCTCAAATGGTTTCCCCAGAAGTTACAGCTGCAAAGATAAAATAGGAATTTCCTTAATACCCAGAAGTGATTCTGAGTTGCACTTAAGAAAGTGAGGAGGAAAAAAAAAGAGCTTTTTGTGATCGTGATTTATTCTATCACACTGTTATTTCTCTTTAATCTCTTTCTTCAGGAAAGACACCCATTTTATTTTTTGTAGTTGAACTGACTTTAGATTAATGACCACTTAATTGAATAACTTTTTATCATTTTTGAGATTAAAATCTATTCTGTTCCAATAATATAATAATAATTCTGTTTTTATCCTTAGGCATAATTTTCATGGTCTTTTACTTAAGCACTTTTAATCAAGTTCTCATTAAGTAGTTATGAGAGTGTGTGTGTGTGTGTGTGTGTGGAGAGAGGGAGAGAAAGAGAGGTGAAAGTAGAGTCTTTGAGTTTTTCTTACTGTTTTATCTCTTTTCATGTTTAACTGCAGTATCAATTACATAATTCATTTTTCAAGATTAATTTATCTTACCTATAATGTGCGTGATCTAGATTTACTAATTTTTGGCACTTAACGTATATTAAAACTTAAATGCTAGTTTTGAAAAGTAAAACCATTATACAGATAATCAATTGATGTATTAATATCAACAACATGGATTCATTCTCACATCATATCTATTAAATCCATGGTATTCAGTGCATTGCTGGATGGTCTCACTGTGGTTCTTCTAGTAAAGACTGGCAAACAAAATCTACCGGTTGGTGTTGGTTTAACAGTGACATGTTAAAAATTGGAGAAATATCATCTGCAAGGCATGTGGAATTTCCACAAACAAGGAATTATATGAAAAAAAGGGGTAAGTCAATTACCAAGATCCATATAATTATCTGTGGTATTTATTGGGCCCTATATTAATGGAAGATTTTACATAAAAATTTTACTTAGATAAAATTTGACAAAAAGTTACCAAGAAAAACAGTAGAGAAACCTAAACTGAGGGACATTTTACGAAATTCATGACTGGCACACCAGAACAGACTTCCTTAATTTGTGAAGGTTGTGAAACGACAAAGAAAGACTAAGAAACAGGGAACCAGAGGTGACTAAGGAGATGTGACAACTAAAGGTAATGTGGTATTTGGATGGGATCCTGGACAGAAAAGGGACAGTAGTGTAAAAATTGTTGAAATCTGAATAAAGTGTGAAGGTTACGCAGTAGCAAGGTACCTGAGTTGGTTTCTTAGTTTTGACGAATGTACTATAGTAATGTAAGACACTAACGTTAAAGAAAACTGGGGCAGGGCGCGGTGGCTCACCCCGTAACTGGGGCCAGGTGCAGTGGCTCACGCCTGTTGGGGCCAGGGATGGTGGCTCACACCTGTAATCCCAGCAATTTAGGAGGCCAAGGTGGGCACATCACCTGAGGTCAGGAGTTCAAGGTCAGCTTGGCCAACATGGTGAAACCTTGTCTCTACTAAAAACACAAAACTTAGCCGGGTGTGGTAGCGGGCGCCTGTAATACCAGCTACTCGGGAGGCTGAGGCAGGAAAATCACTTGAGCCTGGGAGGTGGAGGTTGCAGTAAGCCGAGATCATAGCACTGCACTCCAGCCTGGGCAACAGAGTGAGACTCAGAAAGAAAAGAAAGGGAAAGAAGGAAAGGAAAGAAGAGGAGAGGAGAGGAGAGGAGGAGAGGAGGAGAGGAAGAAAGAGAAAGAGAGAAAGAGAGAAAGAAAGAAAGGGAACTAGGTGATAGTCTAGTGAACTCTGCATAGTACCTTTACACATTTTCTGCAAATAAAAACATGATTCCAAAATTAAAGCTTTATTTGAAAGCAAAAGCAAGCAAATATTAAAGTTATAAAATTTTATTTCCAAACTTAACATAATTCAAACCCCACACAGCAATACCAATCTTAAGAGTAAAAAACAAGAGTAAAAAAAAAAATTTTGTTTTATTGTCTCTGAAACAGTTACACATATTATCTCACTTGACCCTTATCACAGCTTTGTGATGTAAGGAGGACAAATTATGAAGGAAAACATTTCCAGTCCAAGGTCTCTTAAATGTTAGGTCATATTGTCTTAATGTCACATTTTAACTATTCGTCCCGAAATATTTCAAAGAAGCCACTTTCATAACAGAGTGGAATCTGCCCTCCTATGTTTATCTAAGTAGAGTCAACATTTAGATTTATTTAGTGAGGATTCTCTACTTGCCTCAGTTCACCTCATGCTTTAAAGTTGCCAGTAGAAGAAAATCTGGGTGAGGATCTGAGAAATAGGAGTGAGGGCCAAGGATACGGATTTTGGATTTGGGAAACACATTTTTGACCCAGCTGTAGACATGATTAAATGTCATGATCCTGAATTTACCACGATTTCTTCCTTCAAATATTTCCCAATGAAATTGAGGTGAGCAAGAGCTTAAAATTGTGCCAGCTACCCTTCCCAGAAAGCTTTCCAGGTTGCTACAGAGCAGTGTTCTATAAGCCATGGTTGAGTCTACCATCAATGCCCAGAATGAGCCAATGGCAACAATACCATTTGGGCCAAAGCTCATGTTTATGATAACCGTTAGTCTATCTTTTAACTAATTTTTTTTTTGAGACAGAGTCTCACTGTGTCGCCCAGGCTGGAGTGCAGTGGCGTGATTTCAGCTCACTGCAACCTCCCAGGTTCAAGCGATTCTCCTGCCTCAGCATCCTGAGTAGCTGGGACAGGCACGTGCCACCATGCCTGGCTAATTCTTGTATTTTTTAATAGAAATGGGGTTTCACCATATTGCCTGGCTAATTTTTGTATATTTTAATAGAAATGGGGTTTCACCATGTTGCCCAGGCTGTTCTTGAGCTCCTGACCTTGTGATCCACCCTCCTTAGCCTCCCAAAGCACTGGGATTACAGACGTGAGCCATCACGCCCGTCCCCTTCTTTTTTTTTAATTTTTTTTTTAATTTTTTTTATTTTGAGGCAGGGTTTGCTGCTGTTGCTTAGGCTGGAGTGCAGTGGTGCAATCACGGCTCACAGCAGCCTTGGCTTCCTGGGCTCAAATGATCTTCCCACTTCAGCCTCCTGAGTAGCCGGCACCACACCATTCCCAGCTAATTTTTGAATTTTTCTGTATAGATGGGGTTTCTCAATGTTGCCCAGAATGATCTGGAACTCCTGGGCTCAAGTGATCCTCCTGCCTTGGCCTCCCAAAGTGCTGGGATCATAAGTGTGAGCCACCATGCCTGGTGTTTTTTTCCTTCTCAAAGCAAAAAATATTAACAGGCTTCCAGTATATAGATCATTAGTGGAGAATAATTACAACTGATGTACACTTTTATGGGGTGAGTTAATTCTGTAACAAACATTTGTTCCAAAATAATTTGTGAAATCTCTCTCCTGAGAATCAATATCATCAAAACTATGTTCTCTGATTATAATGCAATAAATTTAGATAATAATTAAAAATAGACCGTTGAAAAACTCATAAACTTTAGAACCAAAAAGTGTTCACTTCATAACCCTTGGGTTCAAAAGGAAATCAAGGAAAATTATGAAATACTCAGATTGTAGATAGATCTTTTTTTTTTCCTTTTCATTCTGCTTTCAAACCACAAATTCATGTGTGGATAGATCTTAAAAACACAATGCTGAAATAAAAAAGTAGTAAGTATGATGAAGACTTCAGCAGTGATTGTCAAAGGATTTGTGGTGAAGGACTAGTTTTATTAAAATTCTAATCAGCCACAGACCAGGTTTTTATAGAATTCAATAAAAATAATTACTAAAAAAATGAAATGTTAAAAAGCAATGATATTCAAAATATAGGCCCATATTTTTATTATGAGATTTGAAAGATATAAAATTCTATCTCAGTAAGTATATCAGAACAAATATAACATAGGAAAAAGTTTCTCCCTGCTAATTCTCAATTTTTGTACTTAGTGCAGAAAAGTAACAGAAGTTTCGGGACCAGTATTCTAAGTAACACTAACTTATAGCATAATGTCATTTGCATAATTTAAAAATACATACACACACAAAAAAACCATGATTTATAAGAATGCATACAAATAAAGAAACAAATATCAAACCTATTAAGGTGATTGTTTATTAAGGGGAAGATGGAACAAAAAGGAAATGTGAATAAATGAGAATCAATCAATCAACAGAGCAATGAGAATGATGTACTGGGAGTGTGGTAACAACTTCTGTCTCTGCACGCATACACGCACACACACACACACACACACATGCACAAACACAAAGAGATAAATGAAACGTAGTCTTTCCCACACTCTTGGTCTCTTTCACCAACTTATTTATTTATTTATTTTGAGATGGAGTGTCCCTCTGTTGCCCAGGCTGGAGTGTGATCTTGGCTCACTGCAACCTTCGCCTCCTGGGTTCAAGTGATTCTCTTGCCTCAGCCTCCCAAGTAGCTGGGACTACAGGTGTGCACCACCACGCCCGGCTAATTTTTTGGTATTTTTAGTAGAGACGGGGTTTCACCATGTTGGCCAGGATGGTCTCGATCTCTTGACTTCATGATCTGCCCGCCTCGGCCTCCCAAAGCAGCTTATTATTTTCCATCCACTTTGACTCATCTTACTATCTTTAACTTTTTCTCCCTCTTTGAGCTACATCAAAGTGATAAGAAATCAACGGGTACACATATTTCCCACAGGGTTAAATGTGTATTTTGTTTTCACCCTTTTCATCTGAATAAACTGAAGGTATCTATTATAAATACCTTGGCTAGTTTATACTAATTAGAATCAGAGCAAAAGAATTTTGGATCTTGGAAAGATTTCAACTATGCTGTCCATACATTTATTTTTTCATTTCTCGCTCACTTTCAACCCACCCACAGGTATGAAACAGAATCTTCACAGGTATATTTTAAAATCTTGGTATTTGGTCAGGAAGTCATCACCCTCTCTGTTGATTCAAGAACTCTGCTCTGTAGTTGTATGGTTTAAAGTCACAGTATCACTACACCTGATCTCTTCCTTTGTAGATGCTTCCCTCCATAGGTTTGTCACGGTGTAAGACACTACACATCTGCTTTGCACTTCGCCTCACTACTTTTCAGTGACTAGAGTTTTTCTGTGTCCGGGAAAATAAAGAGGAGGGCTTAGCAATAGTCACCTGTGATTTGAGCTGTGAAAAAAATATATAATCTGTCTCTGGGAGACCCCAAACTCTTTTTTTCACTTAAAAGGTTTTTTTGGTTGATTTCTCAACATAACCCTTTCAATTGCCACTTTATTTGAGGAGACATGATGCAACTGAGTCTAGAAGGGTTTTTCATGCTTTAGTTCTTACTGTAGGCTTTCAGTGCTCACCGCTGGATATTAATAACTAAACAAGTAGAATTTTGAAATTCTTTTTTTTGTCTCTGCCTCACTGGGTTGCAAAGTGAACCACAAAATTAATATGTACTCGTTATAACAAGCCAAACAATGCAGAGATATCTAAAGAAAAAGTTAGTAGCCTCTTTCTACCAATGAATGCTGGATTATTCAACATGCAGATCAAGCTTGTACTCAGGATACCTACAAAAATCAGGAGACTCCTAAATGTTTTTGAAAGAATGCTATATTTGATATTTCAGAAGAAGAATTGGACAAGTGATAATGGGAGACATCAGGAATCTTTAGACTTCCTTATATTTATTTTGTGTTTTAGTATTTTTTTGTTTTTGAGACAAGGTCTCACTCACTCTGTTGCCCAGGTTGGAGTGCAGCAGCACAATCACGGCTCACTGCAGGCTCAATTCCCCAGGCTCAAGTGATCCTCCCACCTCAGTTTTCCTGGTAGCTATGACTACGGGTGTGCACCACCATGCCTGGCTAACATTTTTTGGTATTTTTTATGGAGACGGTTTTACCATTTCGCCCAGGCTGGTCTCAAACTCCTGGGCTCAAGTGATCTTCCCACCTTGGCCTCCCAAGTGCTGAGATTACAAGTGTGAGCCATCATGTCCAGCCATGTTTTAGAATTTTCATGTAATTATATATTGTGGATTGGTTGACAGGAGAACGAGTATGTACAAATAAGGATATATGTCAAGATTATATTTTGTTCATGAAGTATATGTATATACAACTTTACATAATTTTTATTTTAGAATTATTCTTACATCTTAAAATTTCACTTATTTTGTAAATATTTCCATATTCATAAAAAGCTATTGTGCTTATATAATCCTTATATTCTATTTTATTTACTAATAAGCTATCTTGCTTGTCCATTCTTCCACTGTTAAATATTTTCTTAATTTCCTACTAATATGAAATTTACATCTATATTTTTATTTCTGTATATAACTATTTTCTTTTTTAAAAATGATTTTCTTGGGATAAATCACTAGAGTGATATTGCATGAAAACTCATGAATATTGTATATCTCTTTGTAGCTATGACCAGATTGCTCACACAAAGGATTTTATAGGTTCACAAAGGGTAAACTGTATGCATTCTGGCTTTAGAAGTGGTTTGGAGGAGGATGAGATGGTAGCAGGAGAGGCTGGATGTAAGAAAGGGAACAGGAAGTGGGTGATTGCCCTTATCCTGGCAAGAGATGTATCTCAACTACAAAGGTGACAATCGGTATACAGGAAAAAAGTGAATATGATAAATATATAGGAGGTGAATTCAGCAGGCTTGATGAGTAATTGGATATAGGGAGGTAGAAATTGGATATGGGGAGGAAGATTGGAGGATGAGTCACTGTTTTTTTTGCATTTGAGGACTGGATGGAGTAGAACAGGTTTGGGAGAGTGGAGAACACTAAGCATACCATGTACTATATCCCCAAATCCAACACAATGGCTACCACAAGGAAGGCATTCAATAAATGTTAATTGAATAAGTGCTTCATGCATACATGTATATATGAAGGCTGCAAACAATGAATCAATGTTTCTATTTTCCAAAGCCTCCCACGTCTTCGGTTGTATATCTAGAAGCTGACTTACTGTTTTTATCTCTTCAATAGGATATCTTAAATTCAGCACTCCTGATAACAAGAAAGTGAAAAGATTAAGAAGGAAATTGTGGGCCTGGCATGGTAGCTCATGCCTGTAATCCCAGCACTTTTGGAGGCCGAGGCAGGAGGATCCCTTGAGGCCAGGCATTTGAGACCAGCCTGGGCAACACAGTGAGACTCTTTCTCTACAAAAATAAAAATTAAAGAAAAATTAGGCAGGTGTGATGGTGCACTCCTGTAGTCACAGCTACTCGGGAGGCTGAGGAAGGAGGATCACTTGAGCCCAGGAGTTCAAGGCTGGCTGCAGTGAGCTACTGTTGTGCCACTGCATTACAGACTGGGTGACAGAGTGAGACCCTATATCCAAAAAAAAAAAGGAAAGGCAAGAAGAAAGAAAGAAGTGTGAAAAGAAAGAGAGTGCAAAGCCAAAGCTCAGGACTTCGGAACAACCAGACCCACCTCATAAAATTAGCCAATTACTTCCCACAGTCAGCCTTTTGCTAAGTTATGTAGATTTAGCTATTCCTTAGAAAGTTGGCGAATGAACCTGAACTCAGGCTGCTAAAAAGTCAATATCCCTGAATCAGAAGGAAGAGATGGTTCCATTCAGCTCACCTCATGACTAGTGAGAGATAGGGCAAATAGCTCCCTAAAGCTCTCTGCTCTGAGTTGCAGTCCTTTCAGAGTGACCAGGTCCCACCACAGGTGTTTGGAGCTAAAAGGTTCTGCTGGGAGACTCCCCAAGCAGCTTTCCTGTCTCCAGCTGCACTTTGGATACTATGCATCTTGGTTGTGTGGCTGTGACTCCTGCTTAGTGATTATGTTCTTGTATAGAGTATTGTCAGTTTGGGTTGCTGTATTTTCCTGTATTTGTCCTGTATCTCCTAGAGGGCAAAAGCCATAATTGCTATTTCCTTTGTAACTCCCAAAGAGTTAGGCATAACATTTAGCATAAAATGAGGACTCAATTACTACTGATGGTTGCCCAATTGTAATTGGTAAATTGGCAAAAAGTGGTGGTTTTTAATGGTCAATAAAGGTACCATGTATCTAGTCTTAGGAAACAAAAGGTTTATTGAAATGCATGTAGATAAATTATCATCAGCATAAAACTGTTATGGAGTTTTCAACATGGGGTCTTTTGCTCTTAAAATGAAGTGAAGCTTTGCAAGTCCATTGTCCAATAGGAAAAATATTATATCTCTCTGTTCAGATAAAGTCCTTTAAAAAAGTAAATCTCTTTTGAAACGGTCTTTTAAACGTCTCCAGCCTGTGAATATATAACAAAACAAAAACCATATTAAAAAGACATAATTTTCTCCATTTAAAAAGAAGAATTAAATAGGAATGATTTAGGGGTAATAAACAAGGAAAATACCTGGGAATTTGAAACTCTAAAATGTTCTCCTATTTTATTAAGTACATACTAAAATATTTGATATAATGAAAATAATTTACGAAGACAAAATAAATGACAAGTGGTCATAAAAATGCAAATAAAGTCAATCATTTTATTATTATATATTTAGGAACAAAGTTGAAATGTTATCTCCTCAAATAAACAATTTTTAAATAACTCTGATATCAGTAATTTGGAAATACAGTCCTAAATGAGTTTTAATTTCCATTGAAGGCTAAATGTCCTTAATAGAAGACTTGAAATCAATAAATATAGTAAGAGAAAAAAGGAAGAAACTTTCAGAGAATTTCTGAAACTTTGTGGGTCAATAGAAGTTAGCAGTTAATTTTCTACAAATCATCCTCAGGGTAAAGTGAGTCATATTCTGTTTCCGCAGGGTGCTCTGGTCTGACCTGTTTGGCTCCCCCCAGGTGGTGTTGCTGTCCTTCTCCAATTGTGAGTCTGTTGAATGGGATTATCTTCATAGTGGTTTTCTTCATGGAATACCACCGGGTTTTCCAAGTGGCCCAAATAATGCCATTATCATAACCATTAGGAGTAGATGCTTTTGAGTAAGTGCCACCTAAAACAAGTCGTAGATGTACATATCATTATTCTGGAATCTTTTTACCTCTGCAAGTCTATGAAGAGCTGTCTATTACGAAGTGCATTGCCAGTTACATAAAATTTATAGTATTATCTGCTAACTGAAAATATCTCCAAAGATTCCTAAAATATCAATTTATAAAATAAACATATTATTAAACAACATCTGTGCTGTGACTCATAGTCACATCCACACTTTAAATTTATTCACTACTAGTAGGGCTAGAAACCCAAAGTTCCCTAATTGGCCTCTGTCCCTAAGCTTATCCATCCCGGACTCAGCTGCTGTGGACCATCTTTCTTCAGGCAGGTTAGAAGAGAAGGAGCCACAAAATTCCTGATGAGGTCAACTCAGGTTATTTGAAAGCACAATTTTGTTGGTTGATTGAGGAGCTTTAGGAAATGGTTCTGGCATGTTATTTTATGTCTCCATTTTAAAGTGCAGCCTCTGTTGATTTGCCTTCTCCTTGTCCTAGGGAAGCAGATCTCATGTAATTCTGTAAAAGGCTTGTCAGAGCACAACACTGGCATGAACTACAGCTCTGGCATGGCGCCCCGGGTCACACAGATCAAGCATTTTCCCTTAGAGTTTCTTCTCATTATGTGGTTTGTGAGTGCAAAGATAAGTTATGTTTCTCCAATTTAAAAATATTGTGAAAATCAAACTGTTACTTTAAATAAACTGTGCAAAGTTTCCTAGTTGGTGATTGGCTAGGACATCAGGAGGTAAGGTTGCTCATCTTGGTAGATGAGGAGACTATGGTTTGCTACAAGCCCGGAGTGGTTTGGAACACTGGTTTCACTCATCTACCCAGCAGATATGGTAGGGAAGTCCTACTGATGCTAAACAGGTCTGGTCTGACTGTTTGGCTTTCCCAGGGTGGTGTTGCTGTCCTTCTCCAACGGAGAGTCTGTTGAGTGGGATTATCTTCATAGTGGTTTTATTCATGGAATACCACTGGGATTTCCAAATAATGCCATTATTGTAACATGGATCCTTTAGCATCGGTAAGGCTTCCCCACACATAACTGCTGGGTAGGTGAGTGAAACCAGTGTTCCAAACCATTCCAAGCTTATAGCAAACTATAGCCTCCTCATCCAACCCCCATCCTAAAATAAGTGTCTACTGTCCTCAGACTGGTCTCTTCTCTCAAGCTTTCACAAACCCCTGCCCTTACCAGTGCTTGCCTTCTCTTTATTCTGTTCCTCCAAACACCTGTTCACTGCGTGTATCTGACACAAAGCTCATGGGAAGCCAGGTTAATGTGTCAACAAGCATCCATGTAGTAATGTTAATCCATCCAGATCATTTATGTTGTATGTCTAAAGGAGATCCCACAACCCACAGTGCCAGCTATGATGGTGATAGTTTCACATATAATGCCAAACTACTGGATATTTTGCAGCAGGTGGATTTCTTTAGAAGGGCTAATTTTAGGCATGAACTTGGTATTATCCACTTCCAGTTTCAAAGAACTTAGTTGAAATAAAGAACATGATAAAATCCCTACTATCTTTATAAATTATTCTTCATTTCTTCATATCTATTTATTATTTTTTATGAAAATAGTATACACTATACATTAACTTGGAATCTAAGAAAGGAAAACATACCTTGGTAATAAACTCCATTGAGATGGCCAGCGTGACACTTGTTCATCCACCAACCAGATCCATCCTGTTCAGCACAGTTGCCTTCAAACTTATCATTGTCATTGTCCCAGGTACTGAACTGCATGCCATTATGGGATGTGAAAAACTTGTCACTAGGATCATCGCCAAAATCAAAGCCATCAAAGGCATCTCCAGCATCCCCACCAGCGAAGTAGGCATATGTTAGGCGGTACTTGTCAGCTTCAGGTCCCACCTTGAACATGGCATAGTCTGCAGTACTGAGAAGAAGGAAATACAACCATCACATGCTGACCCTCCTCAGGGATCTCAGAAGTTCCCTCTTTCGTAGGATGCTTCCTTGGAATTTTTGACTTTGTTTCTTAAGGCTGAAATTTGCTCATTGAGTGAAGTTTTTTGCAAATCTGGCAAGAGGCAATAGATATGTGAACCAGTCCACAGCTCATTAACACTTCCCGGGATGGGCCTAGAAGCCTTTGAAGCATCTCTGAAAACTAATAATTGCACTCACTTGGATGCTTTTTTGCTTGTTTCATTCTAAGATCAAATCCAGATGTGTAGATGACTCTAATTTCATATTTTCTACTTTTATTGAAATGTTATGTGTTGCACACACATTATCATAGATCACAGAAAGTATCTGACAGTGAGTGACCCTTAATTATTGCACAAAACTTGAAGGAGGTACAGTTCCATTAGCCACTCATAGCACCTGAAGGGTTAGGTGCTAAAGGGATTTTCTTCCTCAAATCAGTGTGGTAGTGGCAAGAAGGAGAGCTTCTGAGGGCATTACACAATCAAAGTCTTCCCTGTGTGGTCCAAAGCATGTGAGCTGAAGGAGTTAGAGAGATTCTTTCCTGGAAAAAATTGTGCAAGTGGACAACACTTCTATAGAGTGGGGGAAAGGATGGGCCTTAATGAATGAACAGAAATTTCCAGAAAATATTTAGCTTATTTTCTAATCTCCAGTGGCTGGGAAATGGAAGGTCCTTTCCTAGAAGAAGGTCTACTGACTATAGCACTTTCTGGATTAAAAACCAACCAAGCAATAAAAAAAAGTCCATGTGTTTGAAGACAATATATTTCACTATTCCTTATACATAACAAGAGGGTTGGATATTTTTCTGCATTTTAATTAGGTAACAATGCTTAAAACCTTCAAATATCTCAAGCAAAAAGAAGCCTCTAGATCATCAAAAGAGCTAGCTGGTTTACTTTTAGGGTAGCTCATGATTTGACAGAATAAATGGCCATCAAGGCACTGAGAAGTCTGAAGAGGCTGTATTTGCTTTTCAACCAGGATAGTTGTTAAGAGGACAGGCTCTAAAGTTAAACTACTTGAGTCTGAATTCTACCTCTACCACTTATCAGCAATGTGACTTTGAGCAAGTTAATCTATAAAATGGGATTAATAATAATACCTGCTTCATGAAATAGTAATTTAGACTAGATAAAATTATAATTTTATGCTCAATTCCTGGGACTGATTAAAAGTTCAGTAATTAGCTATTACTCTGAATGGTTCCAGGGTAATTAGATTGTACCAATACACTTAGATTCATCCTGAATAGAATTTACCTTTTTGGATTGCCCAAGAACCAAACAGACTCCTGGAGAAAATGGTGGCTGGATGTGCTGTTTGCATTTGTCAGGCTGCATTTGCCATTGTCTATTGATAGTTGGAAAGTGCACATTCCAGGCAATCTTTACAATAAAAAGTTGGAAGTCATTTCAAAACAGTACCTGGTTCTGCCATTCCAGTCTTCCAGTTCCACTCTTAATGCATATGGGATGGCAGACTGTGTGCTTATCAAATGAATCTTCTCATTTCCCAGCCAAAATTCTGTTGTGCCAGTAGGAGACAGATGTCCAAATCCTTCTTTATATTGAATCCAGTTTTTCTTGAAATCTACACTGCCATCAAGTCTCTAATTACACATTTGCAAGAGCAAAAGGAGAAAATAGACTATCAATGCATGTAAAGAGAATGCTGTCAACATTTTGTCAAAAATACAGAGCACTGGTTCTATCAACTCCCAACTAAGTGATCTTGGCCAAGCTACCTCAGTTTCCTCATGTATCAAATAGGAAAAATGATGGTTACTTCTTAGGGTTGCTGCAAGGATCATGAGAGAGAATATAAGAGAAATACTTAAGAGGGTTTCTGGCACATCATAAATTCTAAATGAGTGGTAATATTAAAAAGACACCTAGACGACTTCAGAACTCTAGCTGGATATTACTGATTCTTACACTTATGATGGAACCCATTGCTCAATCGGTGTCTGGCAACTAATGCTTCCACCATTCATTCCCTCTGAGCGCCCCCTGTAGAAACAGTTATAACAGTGGTGGGAGGTAAACAGAAAGTAAAGGAGCCAAGATTCCTAGTGGGTATCAGCAAGTGGCAGATGCAACACAGGTTCCTTGTCTTGGAGCAGCCCAAGTGTATCCTCTGGTGTGTGAAAGGGTGGTGATGGTGGTGGGGTGGTGGGGGGTGGTGTTGGGCTTCCTCATCTTGTGATGGGAAACCTCAGGTCTTGACCTACCTGACAAAAGAGTTTCCTTCTTTTTATTTGTCACTGTGGTACTATGATTATGTGCCACCATGAATCTACAAAGTCAGTGCCAGTACAATATAGAGTCAAGTCACAAACTCTGAAACTATACTGCCTAGGTTCAAATGCTGACTCTGTTGCTTATTAGTTATGTGGTCTTGGGCAAGTTATTTAACCTTGTGTGCCTCAGTTTCCTTTTCTGTAAATAGGAGTAACAGAAGTACCTTCCTCTTAGGGCTATTGCAAGGATTAAATGAGCTACGGTTCACAAGGTGCTTAGAAAAGTATCTGCCATATGGCAGAAACAATGTAGGAATTTATTAAATACACATGGTGGGGAAAAAATTACCTTCTGAAACACAGTCCATCCATTTCCAGACCCATCGATTTCACAGTAGACTAAGAATTGCTGGTTAGCTTTCAGAGGTTTAATAAAGTAAAGCCCGCTCTGTTTAGCTCCCTTATTGGCAATGTCTTGACAATCTAGAGAAGGAGAATCGACTTTTACTGTGGTTTGAAATGCAGGTAAGACTGTGCCAGCCTTGAAAAATAGCTTTTAACATGTAGTAAACTATTCATTTTCCAAGAATAATTTTCTTACTTTTCACATCAGCATTCCTTTTAAACTGTTTTTTTTAGCTATTCAAGAAAGGTCTAGACAACTGAAATTCTTAGACTTAATGGGTAGCCACTTTCTAAACTATTCCTATACTTTCCAGTACATACTTTCTCCTTTACATTACTTACTTTGATGAACCTAATCCCAATATAACCTTCATCAGTTACCTTTCCCAGTGATATCATGGATTTGCACCGTGTCTTTGCAAGGTTCCTGGCACTGTGCTTCAAGCTGGGCTACCTTCTCTTTCAGGTTAACAATCTTTTGATTATTTGAATTATATATTTCCTGCAAATATCTACAAACAGAAACATAAGATAACAAAAATAAGAAGACAAAAATAAGTATTCCTTTCAGAAGAGTAATTTTATATTTTCTTTGGAAACTGCTAAGTATTTTCTTAAGAAGTGCTTTCTGATAAATTATTCCATTCTTGAGGAAAATGTAAAATTATATTACTAAATTAACATGAATTAAAATTATAAACTTTTTGAAAAAGAAAAACAAATCAAAAAATCAATTAAAACAGGAATACAATGTGGACCTGAATCTTTTTACTTAGAATGGGGCATATTGTCTCAACTCCCAACACAAATAACAAAGTCCTTGTCAATAAGCAAATGTCATTGACATTTTGCTTTTTACTTTATGCATAAGGGACAGCAGATAGCAACCTGCAAGAGTGGCGGGACTGGTTAATAGGAACACCCCCTGATGCTTTAGAAGCAGGAAAAGCTCAGTTCAGTAATTCACATGTGCTGAAGGAGTATACCTTTCACTTGTGGATCTACTGAGGCTATACATATAAGCTTCAATCTAAAATATAACTTACACAGGGACATGATCTGGAACGTTATTGTATGTAAAATAAAACAACAGATACTTCCCCTTTCTTCTTTAATGCTTCTGGTTACATAGCTTTGGGAATGGACTGGGGGAAGTAAAAACCCTCCTTTTGTAGTTACTTACAGGGTGGCTTGCAAATATCCAAAAATGATAGAAAACTGTCTACAATGCATAAACCGTTCTTTCTTTGAAGTAAAAAAGGGTAGACAAACTATTTGTCCACGTTTTCCCTCTACCTTGTCTTAGGCAATTTCTGTACAATAACCTCCTTCAACTTCAATGATGGACAATAATAATGCAAGTAATAATAATAACAATAATAACAAGGGCCCTCTGATAGCAAAAAGAGGAGAAATCTTTCCTGGGCCACTTCTCCCTAGCTACTATTTATCTCAATTTCTCAAGCTGCTTTGAGAAAAATTCAGAAAAAAAAATTGGGGAAAAATATTAAAACTGTATCTGAGACCTTATGTTCAGAAAGTTTATGAGTCCCTGAGAAGCTTTAACAGAGACATTCACTTCCAAATGAAGGGAAGAGACTATGCAGGTTCATTCTGCAATGATCAATATGAGCTTTGCAATATTTGCCACACTTAGTCTCTCAAGACATGTTTCTTCCTGCTCCACATTCAATATAATTTACTTTAGGAGCCAAAATCCTTACTATGCCTCTGCTTGCTAATTTTTTTAACCACCAATTTGTCAGCATTTTTATAAAGAGGATTTTATTTTCAACACCCAAATTCCTATGAGATTGATTTTATGTTGTAAGATAAATGGGGGATGGGGAAAAAATTTTTGATAAATATGGTCAAACTAGCATTTGAAGACATCTAGAACATCTTTCTTCAATGTGATTATTAATAAGCAATTATAACCCAGTATAATTTATATTGCACTAAAAACTTCTATCTCTACTATGCTCAACATAATCAGGCATAATGTCACTGGGATATTATAAATGGGGAAAACACATTAAAAATTACTTTCACTCAAGTATAGAATATTAAATAAAAACTAAATCAGTCTTGCAGAGCAAATTAAAACAAAAATCCTTACCGAATACTTGAGTCATGTGTTAAAATCGATGCTTCATATTTCATAATTTCTTCTAACATTTTCCTGGACTTCAAAGTAGCAGCGTCTATCATATCTGTAATATAGGATCAGAGACATAAAAATCCTTAAGCAAATAGAACAACTAAAACAACAGCAAAAGAACTTCACAGATTATTATTATTATTTTTTGGTCAGTAGTCTTTATTTTCTCACTTGGTTTTGATGATTCATCAGGATTATAAGTGAGTTGGATTGCTTTTATCAGCTGTTTGACTTCTGATGTTTTGTTTTCAACTTGATGTAAGATGTCTTCCAAAGACTGTAGATCCTTGTCTACTTTGGTTTGATAAGTAGACAGGAAATCTGCAATGCCACAGGTAGTTGGACAATAACTACCCTGAAAATATAACAGTGATTAAAAATGTAGACAGATGCTACTCTTAAAATCTATTAAGAAAAATAGGTAAAACCTAGACTATGTTTTTAAAAAGTTACAAGTGCCAGATGATATTTATGAGGGAATTATTTCTATTCCTCTGCCCCTCTCCAGTTCACACACAAAGGGAGAAACATAAAAACTACTTACGAATCTTTCATCTAAGATGCAGCAGTTGTCTCTGGTAGCAACATACTAAAAGAGAAAAAATACAGAAATTTCACTAGTTTATTATCTGTTTTATTTTCCAGCTTTCCATTTTAAACAACGTTTTGTGAAGAGCACACTTACTGCTACACATGTTGAAGAGAGAAATAAAAGAGCATAGAAGTAGAGAATTAAATTCCGGGGGTGCAAGGACCAACTCATGATGTCTGAGTGCCCGGAGCTCCGAGCCTTGTAGTGTCAGCACTGTCACCTCTCAGGCTCCAATTGTCCCTTTATGTAAGCTCCTGGGATAGCCAGGACTGCAAATGGCTGGAGCTGATCACGGGGCCTCCTTACCAGAAGGGTGGGCAGGTCTTTCCCGTTCCTTTTTCCTCATCCTGGCCCCCAACCTATACTGTCAGGTTCCCAGATTTTGCACACAGGTTGAAGCTCCTCCTTTTTGGCCCAGCTCAAGGTTTTTTCTCTGATCCAAAATTATCTGCAAAGGCTAGTGAAGCATTATCCATTGCTGTGAGGAGGAGGGCAGTCCTGGAGGCTGTGTGATGCAACTTCTTCCAGTACATGGCTGAGAGCAAACAGATATGACCTCGAACTAAGCAAACCTAGTCTATCCTTAAGATGGGTCCTGCTGCCATCACCTGAATTACCAAAAGAACTTTCTTAGCTTAGGGATCAGTTAACACTATTATTTTAGCCTAGGGATCAGTTAACATTATTATTTTTAATCTGTGGCTGTGGCAGGAGGAGACTGACTTCCCCCATGTCCCAGTTCACTATTCCCAGGAATGAATGACCCTGGAAATACATTCCTGTCCCTCTGTGTCAACCATGTTCATAGGCTCTCACTTCTCAGGGAGCTTTTGAGCTCAATCTTCCCTTTGTCTGAAGGTGGGCATGGCACCCCATCTGCCACAGAGAAAAGAGCCAGGAGCCCACTTCATTGTTCCTGTGGTTCCATCAAGCTATCTCAGAGAAGAGAAAAATCCACCTCCCTTGTATCTAAGGAGAGTAGAGGCATAGCTGAAGGAAGGGGCAAAATGAGGTGCTGGGGAGGGGCCATCATTTCTGTTTGGCCCTTACAGCATCCTTGTGTTTGGGAAAACATGTCTGTCATCACTGCCTATTGAGATTTATCACTGGGCGTTACACTATTATTAATGTCTCTATTTTTGGTTATCCCTCATTTCTTCCTCTGGAACCAAGCTTATTATAAGTTTTGATGAAATATGTTAGTGGGAGAAATGCCTCCAGTTTGAAAGAAATACTAATACTTTAATTCTGTCTTTACAAAGGTATATTTATTGACTCAAAAACAAAGATAAATATTCATATTCAGTAAATAATCAATAATTATAACAAAGTGAACACATCAAAACCAGATTTGTTGCTTTTCTTCTCCTCCTTAATATATCCCTCTCTGACTTAGCAGTTATTGTCAATCATATCACCATACCACCAGCCAATTAAGTCTCACAATCTTTCTCATCCATCTTTTCCACTCAGCTAATCAGTTGTCAATCAAGTCAGTTGAATTAAACATTTAAGTATTAGTATTCTTTCAAACAGCTCTACCTCAGATAGCATTTGTAGCAACCTTATATTATATGTATACATGCTGTATCCACTGCATTAGATTGTAAACTGATTTCTGTGGCTACGGCATCTAACATATATAGCTGTACTTAACATAGTTGTAGTTAACACTCAATAACTATGTAATGACTTGAATCAGTTGCCTCTGTGAAGAAGAATGGGATGCAGAGGTGGAGGACAGGATTGGAAAAAAAGGCTTTATTTTTCTCTGTAAACTTTCTATATTTAGAATGTTGAATGTATATAAATATTATCTACTAAAATATATATAATGAAAATATGTAATTATTGATCATTCACAAAGATTTACATAGTACACTGATAATTACATCTTGCTAACTTTTTAATATGATTTGAACATGAAAGGTGACTCAGGCATTGCCTTTGCCTTCAAGAAGTGTGTAGCTCAATTGGAGAATGTATAAATAAATAGTTGTTAAGGCTCTGGAGTCCATCTCCCTAGGTTTGAGTCCCATCTTTACAATTTACTGGCTGTGTGATTCAGTACAAGTTACTCAATCTCCTTGAGTTCCATTATCCATGTCAGTAAAAGAGAGATAATACTTATGATATGGTATTTACTTAATAGGGCTATTACTAAGATTTAGTGGGATAATGTGTTGAGCACATTACCCAATTCATGGTAAGTGTTAAGTAAATGTTTGTAAGGTTTATGAATTACCAAATATATTTGGTATAAAATCTATGTAAATAGGAAACTCTTTTAATAGAGCTATTATTGGTAGATTTGGTTCACAGGGAACAAGCTTTGTTGTTCTAGCTACAGAAATTCTCTTTAATAAAAAATCTGTTGCAACTAACTGCAGTCTCCTTCTGTAAGATTCCCCAGAGAAGAAAGCACCTGGTCGTTTAGTTTAGGAAATTCTATCCAAATTGATTTTACCAATCAAAGATCAAATGATAATATAAATGGATTGCATGCCTTGTGAGAAGGTATACTTCCTATCTGTAAGAATGTTCAAGCAAAGTGTGTTTAGACAGAGCATGTCTTTGTGGTTCTTTTTGCTGAAGACCATAAAATATTAGTTTGTTGAATTTAGGGTAACAATTCATGCAGCCACAGGTTGGGTTCTGAGCTCCTTAATGTCATAAAGTTTCATTGGTTGTGTTAAGATATATAATATTCACAAAGTTGATAAACATTTAAATTGAGGACATTAGAAATTCTATCTTATCCCATTTTAGAAGTGGAATACTTGTATTACAGGCTTTTAACTGACTTATATTGGAATCCAGATGTGTTATCACAATTTTAGAGAAAATAATTTCCTTTTACTACAATCTCAAGTCCTAAATCCAAATCATATAAGACAAGATGCTTGCTCTCTGAGAAAAAAAAATGGTCAACAGTGATTTAGCGGTCTACATTGGCCCTGCATTCAATCTAGTATCACTTAGGTTTATTAAATTTTAACTAGTTTTTTCATGTTTGGGCCAATTTTTTCTTTGAAAAATGATAAATGATTGATGAATTCCAGGAATGAAGAATGTTTCTTAAATCACAGTTCTTCTACTTCCAGGTATGTTTTTTGAGATAATAGCATAGGTAGTATTTAAGCCAAAATAATCATTTACTGTAACTCTGAGGTCAGTGGGCTTGTTTATTGAAATAATAATGTCCCAAATTCCCTATCGTCCAACCGTTTGTGTTCTGATTTGAAAACACAAATCTACAGCTAACAGTCTTCGTGTATATTGGTAATTTACTCTGTGAGCCAAGTCTGTTACATTCATCTTTGCTCCAAAATTATTTGCTGAATTTAAATTTGATTATGTAGAAGACTTCTTGACCTAGTGACAAATGATATAGCCCTAAGGAATAATAGAAAGAACTACCAATTTTGAGCATCTTCTTTATGCTAGATATTATGTGGTAGTATAGTTTTTGTTGTCATGTATATTCTCTCATTTAATCCTCACCACAAGCCTAGGAAGTAGATATAATTACCTGTATCTTATAATGAAAAAAGAAAGGCCTAGAGATGTTGTGTAACATATGCAGGGTCAGTGTGCCAGAACAGGAACTCAAACCCATGGGGCCCAATGCCTGTGCTCTTAACCATGAATCTTAATACAACCATGAAGCCCTTCTTAATTTAAAATAATACACAGATACAAGGTGTTATGAGACTCAAAGTTATTCACTGATAGAATGGATTTTAAAGATGTGTGTGTGCATCTACATAACTGTGTGCATGATTATTTGAACACACATTTACATCTATCTACCAACTTATCTATCTTCTTCTCTGGGTTAGAGACAAGATTTTGTGAATGATCTTTTACAGTCTTTGAGTATTTCTCAAACCTAGATTTGTGTTGTTTTATGATTAGCTTGTGTTTATGGTCCTTTTTTTTTTTTCTCTCTCTTTAGAGATGCAGCCTAGCTTTGTTGCTCAGTCTGGCCTCAAACTGAACTGCTGGGCCCAAGTGATCCTCTTGCCTCAGCCTCCTGAGTAGCTCGGACTATGGGCACGTGCCAATGCACCTGGCTTCAGTCCAATTTTAGATGGAAGCAGTTTTTCAATGCTAACTGCATGGTTCAAGTTTAATAGGACTTGATAAATTGAATTCCATCAGTAAGTTAAAGGGAGAGACAGCCACTGCGTGGTCAAGGAAGCTCAAATCAATGGCGACAATGATATATCTGTTTTTCTAACAAGTAAACCATTTCTAGATCTAAGCTAAATTTATAGCCTGAACCCTCAGAACTGGATTTCCTAAAAACTGGCAGAAAGAAAATGACCTATTGGCATACTGAAAGCCAGTCCAACCTAATAGTAAAAATATCCCATTAAGGGCAACAGAGTTGTCTGTTAGAATATTTGCTTTGTGTATAAAAATAGCCCAGGGAAAGTGAAAACGCAAAAGTTTCTTGGTAGTCTGTGAACAATGTGCTTTTAGTTTCACTATGTAAATCAAAGACAAAAACAACATTGGGCACAAGTAAAATGGACTCCCTCACTGGCAGCAGAACAGCACCCACAGGTTGAGTTTTGCACTTCTTAACTTCATAAAGTTTCATTACATGTGTCATTTGGGGGATCTGTCCTAGCGGCAGGGATGTTGAAAAATCTCTGCTGTGATTGGAATTTAGGAAATAAAGTACTGGGTGCCTAGAGAAAGAAGGATTATCCCATTGGCAATTACAGAGGCCAAAGAGGCTGGAAATTAGCCATTTTTAATACTAGTTTGAGACTAAGGAATGATCTGAGGTGCCCTGGATTGAGACAAATTGAACAGAGAAGTTGGATTTAAGTGTTTTGCTGTGCCACATTGGTATCTGCTACTGGTTTGTTTGTGTTTTTCCATCTTTGTGTAATCTACGATTTTAAATCTCTCACCCCATGAAAGAATTTTCATGACTAAATATGATTAGCAGGAGATTTACAAGAGCAAATGAGTTTGGGGGGAAAAATAAACCACCACCAACCAAGGGGCCAAGTTATATTCACAAGAATGTGCTCCGGAAAGAAGAAACTTTTTAAGCCTTTGAGTAGAAATACTGGCCTATGTTGAAAGTGGACAGGCCCCTGTTTGAGAAAAACTGTAGTTATTTTGTCATATAAACTATCTTTGGAGGAATATATATATATTTCTAAAGAAGGAGAGAAAATAAGAAGAACAGAGAATGCTATCAGATCATCAAAGCAATTCAGTCATCTTATCTAGCTTAACGCACACATTTGCTTTAACCTGCAATTTTGAATGAGGACAAACAAAACATTTATAAGATTTAGATCTTTGTTTTAAATTCTAACTACTTGGGTTAGTTTATTGTCTTAGTGTAATTGCACTATAGTCCTTTCAAAGTTAAATCCATATAGGATTTGCTGTGTACAAAGGCTAACTTTCTATTGACATTTTGAAGGACTTTGCTTCATCCATGAAAGGTGACATATCTCTGTCTTCTTCAAGTGTAGATTTCTGTGTATACTTTACCTTGAGTGGTGGAGCAGTGACCTCTACTAAGTAAACAAAGATACGATTTGCAAAACCAGATTAAGTCAAAGACCCAAATATTTATTGAATGTTGTGCAAGAAAGCCTAGAGTGTAAATCACACTCTTGATGGATAACACTATGGCTGCAAGTTACCGAAGAATGGTCTGGCTTCAGGGCTGACCAGAGCAAGCTCATTCACAAAGAAACAAGGTTAGGTCAAAATTTAGAACACTGCATTTTACCTTTTATAAACAGCAGAGAGGAAATTCTGTTGACCAAGATCCAGGAAACCGATTGCTTAATTATGCATCCTTCTGCGTCGGAAAACTACCTGATATTTACATATCAATACTTCCTGTGGATCTCACTATGCTTTATAAGGTTAATTTCCTCATTAGTACTTTATTGATATTTAATACTACATCATCTAATTATGGCTATGGAAGGCCCCATACCCCTCCTCATATTAACCTGATATGTTAAGCCATTTCTAGCTCTGACCGAGAAACTTTATAGAATTTATCTAGGATAATATCTAAAATAATGCTGAATCAAATATGCACCACAAAATTTGGCTGCCGGGTAACTGCACACTGTCCCATGGTGTTCCTCTGCTGGATGCTCAGATCAAAGTGGTCATTCACTTAGTAAATACATATTGGGCATATACTATTTGCCAGGCCCTGTTCTACACAATGAACCAAAGTCGCTGCTGATAAGTTTACATTCTAGTGGAGAGAAAGAGGATATAAACAAAATATTATATAATGTCAGTTGGTGACACGGGCTGTGAACAAAAATGAAGAAGGATTAAGGAAATGAAAGACTAGAGGAGGTGCTGTTTTAGATATGGTGGTCGGGCAGCACTCTAGGTTAAGGTGACATTTGCTGGGTTTCTGGTGAGGCTAGTTACAAAGCTCATGGCTGGCTCACTATTGCCACCTGCAGGCCCCAATACATCTGGAGGATGAATGATTTAAAGCCAACAGACACATATTTTTTCATTTAGAGCTGTCAGAGATTTGACAAGTGTAGGTAAGTAATAGAATGAGAAGTATACTAAGAGAGGAACACTGCGCAAGTTAGCCAGAAAATACCACAATGACCATCTACACATTACTATTGAGCTTGCGAGTTATGCCATTCTCTTCATCAAAATCCTCTGAGGAATTCCCATTTCCTGTCTAATTAAATATAAACTTCTCAGCCTTGTATTTAAGCTTCTCCAAAAAAAAAAGGCCAATATAACTTGTTAGGTATATCTTATAAATTGGATTGAGGTAGCATATCCCATAAAATTTCAAAATTTTGCCTTCATGAGGCTGACATAAAAGGTATTTTAATTATTATACAATTATTATTATATAATACCTTAATTAAATACCTTCATAATCATATAATAATACCTTAATTAAAGTAAATTTTATGTAAGCCTCATGAAGGCAAGGATTTTTAATCTGTTATTATCTGTGGTGCTTGATCAATGCACCCAATAAATATTTGTTGAGTGAATAAAATATATTTTACTAAAATATTAAGAATTACTAAATATTACTAAAACACTAACATAAAATACTAAAATGCAGTTTGAGGCAGAGAACATGACCATTAAGCAGATAACAAAATCATTCAAGAAAAGGAAATACACCCATTTCAAAACCATCTGTTTCAGAGCAAAAATCTGTAGCAAGGCAATCAGATCTCACAGTGTGGGTCAGTGATAGAGCTGATGGAGAGTACTGGGGAGGGACCACGGTGATCCTCCTGACTCCATTTGAGTGGATCAGGAGAGGAGCAAGACATTCACCGTGATTTTTTGACTGAAGGAAACTTTATATGTATTTAATTTTTGGAAAACTAAAGCAAAATTGTGTCACATTTTAAAACAACTCCAAGTTTGAATGATAAACATAAAATAGAGTGGGCAAGTCCTAGAATATCACAACACTAGGAGGAATTGCCTAGAGCCATTGGTCACTGTTTCTCCTGATTTGCTTTATAAACTATAAGGAGAGAAAGCTCCACATAGGCCTCTGAACCACTCCTGCTTGACTGGAACAGGTGGGCTGCCCTAACCAAACAGTACAACTTTAACAAAGGTCAGTCAAATCCTAGAAGATAGGGAAATGAGGGAGTTTATAGCATTGTGTTGTGCATATTCTCTAGAATACGCAGAACTAGGGCTAGAATGTGTCATAGAGAAAGCCAAGTAACCTTCACCTGGCCCTTTCCTTAGGTTTGTCTGTCTTGGTCCCATGCTTTAGCTCAGCTCACTCAGCTGTGCTCCAAGTCAGCAAGTGGTCATGACCTACATTTGGGACACTATTGCAGGACCTTGTGTCACCCACTGCACTCCATTTCTCAACTAGAATTTGCCACTGGGCCTCAGGCTGCCACAGCCTATGGTTACTGTCAGGAAATGCACCAGTGCATTCCAGCCTGGCCCCAGCACCCAGCCCTACTTAGGTTTGTTGTGGTCCCTTCTTTCTCCATTCAGGAATCCCTCTCTACTTCCTGCTCTCCCAATGACAGGATCTGGTAAACTCATATGAAGTAAGGTAGGAAAGACTGAGCTCGCCTAAGGTATTACTTCTACCAAGACTGAAATTTAAACTTGAGAAAAACCCGGAAACTGAAGACATCAGAATCTAAAAAGAGAATTTTACAAAACAGTCAGCTATTAGAAGAGAATTATGGGATCAAATACAAATTAGGTAACTAAGAGAAGTTGTATAAAGCCATTTAATGACGTAAAGACGTTTTATTTCTATTTTAAGTACTTAGAATTTCTTCTAAGCGACTATTTCTTAAAATGCTCCTTAGATTACTCTGTTTCACTTTGTTAAAAATGTTAGGTTCCTCAGCCCCTTTCCAGATCTACCGAAGAAGAGTATCTGGGAGTGGACCCCAAGAATCTTCATTTTATTAACAAACTTCCCCAGATGATTATTATACACAGTAAAATAGGACAACCACTGCCCTACACAGGAGAGTAACCATACCTGCTTTACCTAAGAAGGCCTTATTTCCATTAGACAATCTCAAATCTTGTATACTTCCTCTTTGTTAGAGTATTTAATACTGAAGATATGCCATAATCATTTCTTGTTGCAAAAAGAATTTAAAAACCAACGGTATCAGTTTTTTTCTATTGAAGTTTAAAATTAGATTTTGGTAATTCAGAAACAAAAAGACAAATACAGCATGTTCTCAGTTATAAGTGGGAGCTAAAAATCTGCACACATGCACATACAGAGTGGATTAATAGACACTGGAGACTCCAAAGGGTGGGAGGGTCGGAGAGGGGTCAGGGATGAGAAATTACCTATTGAGTACATGTACATCATTCCGATGATGGTTACACTAAAAGCCCAGACTTCACCACTAAACCATATATCTGTGTAACAAAACTGCACTGGTAACCCCTAAATCTATGAAAATAAAAAACAAAACAAAAACAAAATAGATTGTGGATAATCCAGTTTAATGATGCATATTGCTTTATTGATGAATATGGCATCAATGCTGCCCAAAGAATAAAAAGTAGACTGGCCCCAAGCCCCAGTGCCTTAACACATTACAGAAGTAGGTGTTCAAGAAATTCAATCGCTTTACAGAAATAGAATAGAAAGGACTTAGGGAAAGACTGAATGAACACGTAGGAGAGGGGTAAAAGTTTCACAGATAATAACTCTGAGAAACAGTAAATATGGGAGAACACTAACATGAATAGGAAAACAAGAAGAGGAACTGGTCTGCTGAAGAGAGAAAATGAAGAGTCCAATTTCCAACATTTTAAGTTTGGATGGGAGTGAGACCTGTAAGAGGAGATGGCGTCAGAATGCTGGAGATGATAGAGCTTTGGGAATGAGAACTAGTGGTGAGCTGATGGAGGGTGAAGTGAGTTTCCAAGGAGAAAACAACCTGAGGACAGAATGTGGACTGAATTTAAGAGCTGGCAGAACAGGCAGAGAGGGGAAGAATGGCTCTGACTCTACCTCATGGCCCTGTGCCTACACAAAAGCCAAAGACTTTCATATCTCCAAATGACACCGCTTGGATGTGATTTAGCTGTTTATCTGTGTCTTGGAATGCTTTCAAATGAAAGAATTATAAACAGTATTTTATATATATATACACAGATATATGTATACACATTATATATACATATACATACATATGAAACCTTTGCTGTTAGATATGTCAGATAATACAGAATGAGTGGTAATCATTTAACACATTTCATGTTCTGTGGTGCCAGAAATGGGTAGGCTGTCTAGTAAATAGATTTTGTTAATTAGTACATTCTGTGATATAATCTAGTTGTGCTGAATTTCCTGAGATGCTTGGAGGAAACTGTTGGATTTCATTGTGAATGGATTTTTATGTTGCATATGTCATTACAGATTTTGATGAATACATAGGGTTTATTAGGGCTAATTCAAACCAAAATTCAAATAATTTAGAAATATAGTACTCTATTCTAGCTGGGTGCTGTGGCTCACGCCTGTAATCCCAGTATTTTGGGAGGCTGACGTGGGAGGATTGCTTAAACCCAGGAGTTCAAGACCAGCATGGGCAACAAAACGAGACTACAAAAAGTAACAAAATTAGATGGGCGTGGCAGTGTGTGCTTGTGGTCCCAGCTACACAGGAGGCTGAGACAGGAGGATTCCTTGAGCCCAATAGGTCCAGGCTGCAGTGAACTGTGTTTGAATCACTGCATTGCTTTTCAGAGCCTGGGTGATAGAGTGAAACCCTGTCTCAACTTTGTCTCAAAAAAAAAAAAAAAAAAGACAAGAAAAGAACTGTATTTTAAGGCACTTTGTTGGAAGCCCAGTCCTCTCTAATGGTTAGTGTAATACAGCCACCTGCTGGTGAAGTTATTGCTAGACAGCAACAGCCACTTCTGTGGATACACCTGTGCACTCAAATTGCCACATAGATTCTTGTAGATTAAATATCCCCCACCTATTCTTTTTGTATGTGTGTAAGTTCTTATCCATATGTTAGGTTTCTCTGTTTTTGTGCTGAAGGGGTGGTGAAGTAGATATTTTTCTTAGTGTCAGTCAACAGCATTTGAAATGGGTCCTCAGGTCAAAATCTGAAATTCAGAATTTGGGATTCTCTGTGTGTTTGGAGGTACTTCCAACCTAGCAGTTAGGGTATAATAAATGACCCCCAAATGGCCTCTGTATATTGGCTTCTAAGCTGTTGATTTTTTTTTATTTTTTCCAATTTATTATTATTATTTTAAAGGATAGGTGGGGGTGGGGGCTCTCGCCCTGTCACCCAGCCTGGAGTGCAGTGGTGCAATCATAGCTCACTGTAATCTCCAACTCCTGGGCTCTAGTGATTGTTCAATCTCAGCCTTTTGAGTAGCTGGGACTACAGGCACACGCCACAATGCCCAGCTAATTAAAAAAAATGGTAAAAATGGGATCTCACTGTGTTGCCAAGGTTGGTAAGGTTGTTGAGTTTTGTTTTAATGGCAGGTTGTCAACAAGTCAAATGTTTATATATCTTAATGTTTTAAACACAGTCCAAATAAACAGATTTTCAGCTATTTAGAAACTGCCTGCTCTGTATACCCTGAGCAACTGCACCCAAGATCTGCTAGCCATAGATAAGATAAACTTTGCAGCTAAAAAAACCCCACTCAGCAGCTGCCCTTTGAGGGTATCTGATCCTGAGATTTTGCAGTGTGTTGAGGGACGTTACCTAAATACAGAAGTCCCCTCTCTGATTCCTCTTCTTCAGGGCTTCCTTTATCCTCCTCCCCTTCTGGGTGGTGGCCTCCATGCTGCCAGAGCTCTGGATGGGTCCACGCTGTGTGGGACTCCCCCTCACCACGCAAACCTGTTAAAGTGCTTCCAAAATAGAGCTCATTGTGTGCTACTCCCACTTCATTATTATGTTTTTTTCCTTGATCAGCCTCAAAATCCCTTGAAAAACTCATTCTATCAGGTGAGAAAGGCCTCACCTCAGCAGGGAGAAAGAAATGAATGTCATAAACTCTGGTAACTCTGGTTTTTCATATGGTCATGGCCCTAAGTTTCCCTCTGTGCCTCTTCTTCAATTACTGTTGTTCCCCTGCAGAAAGCAACATTATTTCCTCTAAAAGGGCAAAGATTACTTGGCGATACTGGTGCCTCTAGTCGTCCCTTCCCAAAGCGTCCAGGAGAACTGGTCACAGAAGGGATGAGAGCGCACCATGTGCCACACCATGTGCCACACCATGTGCCCCACTGTGGAGGCTTTTTTTTTATGCCTTGGCCTCCTAAGGGAACAGTTGTTTCAGCTGTAGGTAATACAGCGGGACCTTAGTCTGGCCCTGAGTTTGGCGAAGGGCTCTTTATGCTCTTGGCATTGCTAGTAGAGTGCAGGAAGGGAGGAGCTGCTTAAACAGACAGTTCAGCTCAACGTCAGGCCTTGACTCTCAGGGACTCAGCCTGAAACCCAGGTGGATCATTCAGGGTACTCTAGAGGGACAGGACTAATAGGATAGATGTATATATGATGTATATATGAAAGGGAGTTTATTAAGGAGAACTGACTCTCATAATCACAAGGTGAAGTCCCACAATAGGCCATCTGCAAGCTGAGGAGCAAGGAAGTCAGTCTGAGTCCCAAAGCCTCAAAAGTAGGGAAGCCGAAAGTGCAGCCTTCAGTCTGTGGCCTAAGGCCTGAGAGCCCCGGCAAACCACTGGTGTAAGTCCAAGAGTCCAAAAGCTGAAGAACTTGGAGTCCGATGCTCTAGGGCAGGAAGCATCCAATACGGGAGAAATATGAAGGCCAGAAGACTCAGCCATTCTATTCCTTCCACATTCCTCTGCCTGCTTTCATCCTAGCTGCGCTGGCAGCTGATTGGATGGTGCCCACCTACATTGAGGGTGGGTCTGCCTTGCCCAGTCCACTGACTCAAATGTTAATCTCCTTTGGCAACACCCTCGCAGACACACCCAGGATCAATGCTTTGCATCCTTCAATCTAATCAAGGGGCTGGATTTGTTTAACCATCACACAAGGGGCTGTTTTTGTTTTTGTTATTGTTTAAGAGATGAGCTCTCCCTCTGCCGCCCAGGCTGCTGTGCTGTGGCACAATTAAAGCTCACTGCAGCTTAAAACTCCTGTTCTCAAGCAATCCTCCCACCTCAGCCTCCCATGTAGCTGGGACTACAGGCATGCATCACCACGCCCAGCTAATTTTTTAAATTTTTTAGTTTTGTAGAGATAGGGTCTCACAATGTTGTCCTGTTAGTTGCCTAGATTGGTTTCAAATTCCTGGCCTCAAGCAATCCTTGGACTCCCCAAATGCTGAGATTATAGGCAAAAGCCACCAAGCCCAGCTGGGCTCACTAATTGAAGGTTATGAAAGCATCACACCCTTTTTAGGCAATCCCTTCTCCCTCTGTATGGCTGAATGTAGGAAAAAAGTATCTCCCTCCCATGGTTAGTTAAGGATCAGACTCACTTGTTCTAATCTTGCCTGTACAAGTTAGTAGCTCTGTGTTCCTGGACTATTAGTTAGCCTCTCTGTGCCTGTTTCCTTTTATCAGACTGACTTCCTTGCTCCTCAGCTTGCAGATGGCCTATTGTGGGACTCACCTTGTGATTATGAGAGTCAATTCTCCTTAATAAACTCCCTTTCATATATACATCATATATACATCTATCCTATTAGTCCTGTCCCTCTAGAGTACCCTGAATGATCCACCAGGCTGTCGGGGCTTAAATTCCAGCTTTATAACTTACTTCTAGCTGTGTGACCTTAGGAAATGTTCCTGCTTCTTTGTCTCAATTTCCTCAATTGTAAAAAGGGAATAATATTATTACCCATCTTATAGGGTTGTTTTGTCTAATGTGTTAATAAATGTAAACATTTAAAACATTACATAAGAGCTGATTTTACTATTATTATAAAAAAGCTCTTAAAACAGTTTCTGGTCAGCATTAAGAACTCAATAATTGTTAATGGTTAATATTAGTCATGTAACTACCCAGATAATCCATAAACTGTATTAGTCATCCTGTTAAGAAGCAAGGCCTGGTTTGTCTTCTTCCTTTTATTATACAATTTTACTGCTTCTAATTTAAACTCTTGCCTCCCTAAGTTCAATCCAGGAAGAGAGTCAGGATTAAAGGACTAGAAGGAAAGACAAGAGTGCTGATGGAAACAAAACTACTCAAATATAGGTGTTAAAGAGAGAGAAAGAGACAGAGAGGGAGACAGAGAGAGAGAGAGAGAGAGAGAGAGAGACTTTGTCAGCTAAAAATTAACTAGACTGTCAGCTCCTGCGTCTTCTGCATCCCTCTCAGAACCTGGAAAAAAATATTTGCAGTGGTCCTGATGTCCGCAGCAGGCCTTGCTCCGATGGTTTTGCAGAGTAGCAAGTGAAGATTTCCAAAAGGCGGAAGAGCGGGATAAGAGAAGAAAAAGAGATAGATAAGCTAGCACAGGAACAAGGCTCAGAGCAGGAAAGTTACCAGGACAGAACAGGGAGGGACTGACTGTCACAGGGCAGGGAGCAGGAGGAAAGAAGCCACTTTTCAGTGAAAGGTATTTGTAATTACAAGAAAGCCAGGTTCTTCAGGGCCCTGGAGAAACAGAAATACAATTCCCTGGCTTCTGGGGAGAGCACTTAGGGGCTCCTATATCCTCATCCCTTTGGATTTTCCCTTCTCAAACGCCAGAATTTGGAAAAGGGTGGGGAGGGTCTTTAAATTATTTGGCACAAACTCCGAAAAAGTGGAGAGGCTGTGAGCCAGCCACCCTCCGACTAGGTTTTGTGGTGATGGTTGCTGAAATCACTTGCGCACAGGATGACAGGAGCTGGGAACCTCAAGGTAGGTGAGCCTGCCAAGACGCGGGTCCGGGACTCGGCTGGGGCGCAGATGGAGCCCGCCCGGTAGGGGGTGTGCGGAGCCCTGTTTTCTGGGCTCCGGCCCCCAGCCCAGCCCAGCCGCCGCAGGAGCGCTCGGCCAGTAGGTGTCTCTGCTCCTCGGGCGGCCTTGAGCAGTGCCTAACGTTGAGCGTGAGGCTCGTGCTCCGGGTCTCGCGGGCGGCCGCCTCGGGCGTCGAGTCCCGGAGATTGGACAGACACCAGAGCCTGGGGACCGCGGAGTGACCGGGTGGGGCTGGAGGGCGGCGCCGCGCCTTCTGGGGAGACGCGGAGGTATCAGGTAATCCCCCGGCGGCCTGCGCCAGGCAGTCATGCCCACCCGAGCCCTGGGACCTTTTTCACCTCCTCTTTCCAGGGAGGAAAGGCGGCAAGGGAGGCGCGAGGAGTTAGTTGCAGCCCTGGAGGCAGACACTGAACTCCAAGATAATGCCACTTGGACTCTGAAAGTGGGCTCTTCTCTACCACGCGATCCAGCTTAGCTTTTACCTTTTCTCTAGAGGTAGAGAGGGCCGGGTGCCAACTCCTTGCTCAACTTCTCACTGGAAAAGTGGCTGCCTTCCTCCGTCTCCCTCCCCTGGGCTCCGGCCAGGGGAGCAAGGCCTGCTGTGGACATGAGGAACTCCCTGCCCTGTCCTGGTAACTTTCCTATTCTGCACCTTCGCTTTGCTAGCTTGTCTACCTCCTTCTTTTCGCTAGCTTATCTACCTCCTTCTCTTCTTCGCTCTTCCTCCCACTGGAAATCTTCACTTCCTAGTCCGCAAAACCGTCCAGCGGAGGTTTGCAACAGAGTCGGCTCTTGGAATCATAGCCCTCTTAGGTTGGTGGTGGTTGTGGATTAGAGGGCAGCAGTAGGGACGATTAAAAGTAGTTTTTAATACTTAAATGGTTTAGGGCTTTCCTGTGCCTTTGTTCTGCCTAAACATTAGTTTGATTTACTAAAATCCTCTCCTACCCCATTTCTGGCATTTGGTAAAGAAACCAAGTGAAGGTAATCAGGCCTCGGGTATTTATGTATGTAGAAATCATCTAGCAAAATAGAACGAATAGATCATTTCTTTTGAGGGGCCGTAAACTTTTTTGTATGTTGAAGTGTGTTTTGATACTTGGGTGTTCCCTTGTTGCTGTGGCTGCCTGTTTCATTTGATTTGAGGGCCTTTGAGCATTGTCTGTCATTGACATTCTACTACTGAAGTTTATTCCTTTTGTTTAAAGTCTTAATATTCTTTTCCAGTCCCCCTAATGAATCACGGTTACCATGAGAAGGATGACCTCATGTTATTGAAGAAAAGTCCTGGTCTGAGATTCAGGAAACAAGATTCAGATGGCTTGTGTCCAGTGTTTAGTTCTGGACCCATTTCTGGGGCTAAGTGGCTATGTGATTTTGGTTGTTCAATTTATTTAACTTCTCAGAACCTTGGTTTTCTCATTTCAGGGAATCTGGGACCAATAACCCCCATCCATTGTTATATGACTGCTAAATTCAGTCTTCAATTCTTGGCTGTCTTCTTCCTTGATTACCAGTGGCATTTAACCAAAGTGATCATTGTCTCCTTGAAATACTTTCTACTTGAAGTCTCATGAGGTCTTCCTCCTTCCTCCTTGCCCACTACTTCTCAGTCTCCTTGACTGGTTCCTCCTCAACCCTAAAAGCTAAAGTTTGATGTGTACTAGGCCTCTTCTCTGACTCCATCCTCTCTAAGTGCTCTCCATCTATGACATTTAACATCACCATCTTGGAAGAATCCCACACTTATGCCTCCAACATGGACTTGTCCTCCTCTAAAATCCATACTCAGGTATCCAGCTGCCTTCTTGACATCTTCATAGGCATCTCAAAAGTAACATGTTCAAAACAGAACTCCTGATCTTTACCCCAAATCTGATTCTTCCCAAGTCTTGTTCACCTCATTAAATGGAATCCCTATCTTTCCATGCTCGAGCCAAAATCTTTGCAGTCAAACTTGATGTCTACCATCAGCCTAGTCCACACCTGCATCTCTCTAGTTGATCTATATCAATAGCCTCTGATCTAGTCATCCTAGTTGCTCTCTTGCACTCCCAAAGTTTTTTTTCTGCACACAGCTGCAAGAGTACCTATGCAGGAGAATCATATCCCTCATTGGATGAAAACTTCCCAATGGTTTATCTCATTTAGAGATCTACAAAACTGATTTAGTTTCCTCTTCTTTTCTGGTCTTATCTATTTCTACTCTCCCTTTTGCTCACCAACACTGCAGGCACGTTGGTTTCCCAGTTATGACTACAATATGCCAAGCACATCCCTGTCTTGGGAACTTTGCACATACTTGCCCCTCGGTGTGGAACACTCTTTCCCCAGACAGTGCATGGCAAGCACTTCACTTCCTTCAGGTCTCTACTCATTCAAATATTATCATATCAAAGACGCTGTCCCCTGACCACTCTACATCCAGTAGCCACAATTCTATGGGATTCCTCTTGGTATTATTCTTTTAACTGAGACAGGGTCTTGCTTTGTCACCCAGGCTGGAGTGCAATAGCATGAACATAGTTCAAGGCAGCCTCAAACTCCTGTCTAAAGCAATCCTCCTGCCTCAGTCTCCCAAGTAGCTGGGACTACAGGTGTGTGCCACCACATTTGGCTAATGTTAAGATTTTTTTTCTTTTCTTTCCTTTTTTTTCTGGGTAGAGATTTTGTCTTGCTCTGTTGCTCAGGCTGGTCTCAACCTCCTGGGCTCAAGTGATCCTCTCACTTGGCCTCTGAAACTATTGGAATTACAGGTGTGGGAGACACTGTGCCCAGCCTTCTTGGTACTTCCTAACCCCTTACCTGGCTTTAGTTTTCTCCACAGTACTTGACAGCTGACAAATATTTTGTTGTTTCTTTTCCTACCTATACTCCAGAAAGTGAACTCCAAAGAGGGCAGAGATTGTGTCCATTTTGATCACTGCATTGTCTCCAGTGCCTAGAACAGAGATTGGTATGCAAGATTACCAATGTATCTTTACTGAATAAATTATATTCATGATATTTATACCATAGGGCTAAAGTGAAGATCACATTGTGAGGCCAGTTTGTATACTGGAAAAAACCTTGGCTTTACAATTAGTGAAACCTGGTTTCCAATCATGGTTGCACACTCACTGGTAATGTGAACTTCTCAGAAGGTCCATTTTCCACACTTGTGTGATGGGTATAATATAATATCTTGAAGGTTTATTTTAGGCATAAGGTGTAACAAAAATGCTCATAAAGGACTCAGCTATGAGGAGGCTAGAAAATGAGCAGTTTTGAGAATATATGTGTGAATCTATTTTGTAAGCTCTAAAGCCACATTTATACATATAGAGCTAATATTACTGGGGACAGTTGTGTGAATTGTACTGTGCAAAGCATTTCAGGGTGAATGGTTTCAGTGCTTGTAGCATACTGAAAATTAGAAAATGAATAATGGCTGGGATCTATACCTATATTTACACATTCTAATGGAATTGAATGTCTGACTTCCTATTATTTCTGCATAATTTTCCCAATAACCTGTAGTTCTGCTGTGCCTGAGAAGGCAATACATTATCTTATTGTATCTTATCTTATTATCTCAATCTGTCAAAAAAACATGTGCACAAATTCAGCCACTTAACATACTCACATGAAACCCAAGTAATTAGCTGGTGACAAGCTGCCAGTCAGCACTTCCTCAGCATGGTCCTGCTAGATGAGTACTGACTGGTTTATTTTAGTTCAGCACACATTGCTAGGTTTTGAGGATTCAAAGGGAAATATAGTATGTCCTTATTTTCAGGGTACTCATAGTCTCTTGCTATAGTCTAGCCTAGCTTTACAAGGGGTATACAATTCAGGCTCTTTGAGGACAGGAAGGAGGTCAGCTAGTATATAGGTCTGTAAGAGCTTTTAACTGCCACAGTTTGAAGACAGCAGGAAGGCAGACAGATGCTATGCTGATTCCCCTTTTCATCTTGAGTTTTTCCACAAAAACTTCAAGGTATAGGCCATATTCTTTAGACTATGAGTTAGATTTGAAGCCTTAGGACACAAAGAGTTGTGAGTTGAGGGTCCCTGAAATCCAGGTTCAGTTCTGTATTCTTGTTTGTTGAAGTTTAAGAATCACAGACTACAGGACTCTTAGGTAAATGCGGACAGCTTCAGAACCCAAGTCATCTTGTCTTGGTTGTGATGTACCCTTTCCCTGGTTTGCAGTCCCTTCCCCAATGACCACACGGGCTCAGAACAGGACTTAAAGAACTCAGATACATTGCTGAACTATCTGTGTCCACCTGCCCCCCAAACCCTTCTCACCTGCTGCCTCCCCAGCAGCCCCATCTCCCCAAATAAGGTTGTGCTTCTTCCAGATGTGGAGGTTAAGGAGAAAATGCTGCAAGGTCACCAGAAGATGATCCCCACATATGAGGGCTCAACCAGGGTAGAGTTGTTCTAGATCTGGACAGCAGAACAGCTTGCTTCACCGTGAGACAGTGCACTTCAAGTTAAAAGAAATTCTTCAATGAAGAAGTTGGCTGTGGCCAGTAAATGCCTTCATTTCCCTATCAAGTAAAATAGCCTTGTAAGCACTCTCAGAACAGGGACCAGGATTTATTCATCCTTGCCTGGCACAGTATTGATCAACTGTACATGGTTTTATTCTCTAGGAATATTCATTGCCTCACATTTATTCATCAGGAATTCTGATACAACTACATAATGTGAAATACGTAGACATTGTTTTGGCCTCACATTTACTTGGCAATAAATATTTCTTGAGCACTGTGCTAGATCTTGGGAGTACAAACCAGAATACGACCTATTTCCTGAACCCAGGATACTGTTCTTGGTGTATTTTTATTTCCAGATTTATACCAAAATTAACACATTTTTTACCTTTTGAAAATCCGTGGCTGGTATAAATATAAACCATAGAGAAATACTTTAAGATGATTACTTCTGTTATCTTCTCATCTGTATTTACTTTTTTAAAACTCTGATGAACACAGCACATAAGCACATTCGTTCATTGAATTCTTTAGTAACCTTCAACTCCACAGTTGGAGTGAGACAGAGTCCAGCTGAGCTCCCCAGGGCTCCATCCCTTGTAGAGAATGACTTCCTTTAGGGAGGGCATAGTGCAGCCCTTGGGAGAGGGTTGTCTAGCTAGACCTCTGCTGCTGCTGTATCCTTGAACCTTAATGGCTTGGCTTTGGACTGCTTGCCGATTCTTGTACACTGAAGGGAAGGAAGGAAGACTGACAGCCCATTTGACTGCTTTTTGAGTTTTCCACTGTGTCTTCAATTTATTCAAATGCCTTTCCTGAAGAAAGCAAATTTCATGGACCACTCCATTTGCTTCTGGACTATTGAGACACTGGCAGATATGATTTAAGAATCTGAACATGGAAACATTTAAAAATACATGACACTAATTTGCAGTGCAGTTTACATCTTCGTCTCGGATTTTACATTGTCTCTGGAACCTATAGCAGTCATTTGAATTATCCATCATTCACAAAGCCAGCTTTGTCTGATTTTTGTGGCATCCATTTGTTCTTGTCTTTCTTTTCTTCCTTTCCACAATATTCCCACGATCATTAACACAACTGCTTGTTGTGCCCTGTTTGAATTTTGCATTTGTATCCCTGTTACTAAACATCTCAATGTCAAATCCCAAAGTGAGATTTTTCTTCCTTCGCTGAAACCTTTGATGAAAAGTTACTGTTTTGTGTGCAGTTTGTAGAATTGCTTAATTGGAGATTGTCAGAGTTTCACTGGAGGGTATTGCATCTCATTTTGAAATAGTTGCTGTTGATTTTTCTGAGCTCAAGTGCTCTAAAAACAGGCGAGCTGCGTTTAAGTTATCATTATTATCCATGATAAATAATGTATAATTAATTATGGGACCATTTATCTTTCAGTATTTCCCTTCTTATATCTTAATGGTTTTCCATACGCATATTACATAATGTCTGAGTTTACTCTTTTATGATTGTAAAAGCCATCCAGCTTATAGGGTATTGCAGTTACATTATACAGAAAAAAATGTGTAAATGTATATTTCAATAATTAAAAAATACTTTTAATGCTGCATTTATTTTATGTATTTCCATAAGACTGCTATGCCAACGCCTCTGACCTAGTGGGAAATATTTCCATCTTTGGTAGATCTTTACCTAAAATCTTTATGGTAGGTTTTAGGAATTCCAACTGAATTTCAAAATAAAAGATTCTATGGTAGTTAATAAGAAATTAGAGACAAGGAATCCTGGAGTATGCCATGAGAGCTTACAAAAAGTGAGAGATATGAAATGAAGAAACTTTAAGGTGAAGAGCTGTTTTAAAATGTGCTTTCCTATTCATTCAGCCATTATTCAGCCAACATTTGCTAAGTGCTCATCAGGTACAGTCAAAGAGACTAGGGACACACACACATCAAGACAAAGCTCCTACCTTTAAAAATACTGTTTTAGAAGAAAACGCTGTCTTGTGATGGTACTTTTTCTTTAGGCTTTTATAGCTCTTTTTTTGTACTCTTGGCACTGCCTTTGCATAACATTTTTAAATAAGGAAGTAACTTGAAGAAAACCAGTTATTTTAGGATTATGGAAAACTAGGGGCTTGGTAACAGCAAATCTTTCCTTTGAGGATGCTACTGACCCCTCATGTTTACATCATTTGTCAATAAGCAGGATCAATTTTTGCCTTAATTATGAGCTTGGAATAGCAAAGACAATTGTACATTGGATAAAGGAAATATATAATTTGTTTTAAAATGAGACCTTTGCCATTGGAAGGAAATAATTCCTGGAGATCACTGGGAATTGGGAAATCTGCTACCACTGCTATATTTTCCTTACTTGTCTGTTACCATATAATAATTTACTTTTAGTCAGCATAATTAAGTATATGGATTACCACTCTAATATGCCAATGGTTGAAATGTAAAGTACAGTGACAACTCATTGAGATAGAGAGGGTTGGCAGGAAATACCCCAAATGAATAAAAATATATCTACAACTTCTATATTTGGATAATGTACTGTAAAATAATATTTTACTCATACATTTTTTCAACTTTGATTAATTCATTGTTAAATTTAAATTTTAAAAAGTAAAATATACTTTGTGTTTTTCTTCCAGTTCCTCAGCTTCTGATGTGGTTTGGCTTTGTGTCCCCAACCAAATGGCATCTTGAATTATAATCCCCACGTGTGTCCAGGAAGGGACCTGGTGGGAGGTGATTGGATCACCTGGGTGATTTCTCCCATACTGTTCTCTTGATAGTGAGGGAGTTCTCACGAGATCTGGTTGTTTGATAGGTGTCTGGTGTTTCCCCCTTCTCTCCTTCTGTCTCTCTCCTCCCACCATGTAAGACATGTCTTGCTTCCTCTTTGCCTTCCACCATGATTGTAAGTTTCTTGAGGCCTCTCCAGCCATGTGGAACTGGGAGTCAGTTAAACCTCCTTTGGTTATAAATTACCCAATCTCACATAGCATCTTTACAGCAGTGTGAAAACGGCTAAGACAGCTACTGTATGGAAAGAAGCTAGATTCTTTTCTTTTCTTTTTTTGAGACAGAATCTTGCTCTGTCACTCAAGCTGGAGTGCACTGGTGCTATCTCAGCTCACTGCAGCCTCTGCCTCCCAGGTGATCCTCCCACCTCAGCCACCTGAGTAGCTGGGACTACAAGTGCACTACCACACCTGGCATATATATATATATATATATATATATATATATATATATATATATATATATATATATATATTTTTTTTTTTTTTTTTTTTTTTTTTTTTTTTTATAGAGACAGATTCTTCCTATATTTCCCCAGGCTGGTTTCTAACTCCTGGGCTCAAGAAATCTGCCTGCCTTGGCCAGCCTATTTGATTTTTTATTATCTCTCAGAGATAAACTATGTTCCTGCTAACTGCTACAAAAGTAAAATCGCCTATAAGTTAACTATTGTAGTCACCTTAATAGCCCCCTAGCCTTACCTCTAAGGCTAGACCTTGAAGACAATAACTTAAAGGCTAATTATACAATGAGGTGTTTATGTAAGTGATTTATTGTAAAACTTTAAAAATGTTAGGTGCTATTGTTGTTAGAAAAAAGGTAAGTAGTTTGGTTATTTACCATCTTTATGTCAGAATATCTTAAGGAAATATAGCTAATTATAGAACTTTTGTTCACAGAGATGGATACGGTAGCCTTATTTATAACACACACACACAAAAGGAAAGACCTAAATGCTTAACAATAAGGAAATGGTTAAATAAATGAGGAGAGAGTCAGGCAATAAAATCTTACATAGCCATTAAAATTTTATTTATGGAAAACCTTATTACCATGGAGAACTGCTTATGCTGTCATATATTGTACCTGATAAATGTCTTAGTCTTAATTTTGAAATATTTCAGTTGCTACAGATGGATTAAATTTTCTTATTTTAATATTTAAGGCCTAGAGATTGGCCTGAGGCATGGAATATCCCAGCAGAAATTCCATTTAGACAAGAGAACCATTCAAATTATTTAGCTTGTTAGAGAATATGTAAGTATTATTATAGCTATAGCATCAACTTTGTGATTTTTAGTTTATGTAAGAAGCTGCTTTGATTTGGTGAAATTAATTTAAAAAGTCCTCATCATAACATACCTAGATTAATTATCTAGTCTGTGCTTTAAAGGGCAGTTTGTTCACAAAGGAGGTACTTTTGAATAGCTACATCACCTACAGTAACTCTTACTCCAATCTACCCTTTTGGTTTTCTGTATCTGTTTCTATAATCTATTAACTAAATATTAAATCACTGGTTTCTCTAAGGAATAGTGTAGACTTTTGGTAATGAATGTTCAGGGCATGTAAAATGTTGGTAACTTTAGGTTTTAGTGAAACTTTGGAGTTAAAACTGCGGCTAGTTGGGTGCAGTGGCTCATGCCTGTAATCTCAGCACTTTTGGAAGCTGAGGTGGGAGGATCACTTGAACCCAGGAGTTCAAGAGCAGTCTGGGCAACATAGTGAGACCCTGTCTCTACAAAACAATTTTTTAAAAAATGAGGTGGGAGGATCGCTTGAGCCTGGGAGGTTGGGGCTGCAATGAGCTGTGCTTGTGCCACTGCACTCCCTCCTGGGTGACACAGCGAGACCCTGCCTCAGAAACAAGTGAACAAAAAAGCTGCTAATAGATCACAAAAGAGAAGTGGTTACTTTGTTTAGTTCCTTTAAAGCCCAATTTTTTCACTTTGGTGGTAATGAAAGTTTAGTGCATCTTGAACATAATACCAGATCTTTCCATCAATTGATTATATTTCAAATTCACATAGGATTAGTTCATATCAAACAACATAAATATTACAATTTCTTAATGTTCATTATGGCCTTGGAAACATTAAAAGGTTGACTAGTCTGCATTATTGCCTTTGATAGCCAAATATATTTTATAGTGAATAATACATTTCTTTTTATATTTTAGGACCTGGGCTATGCTCCTGATTTTATACAGACTGCCATGGCTCCAGATATAAAAGACCAAATAAAAAGGTAATTTGAAAACTATTTTTCATATGGATTATCTTAATTTTTTGTATTCAGTAGAATGTCAGATTTTAAGATAGAATCTCACACACACACACACACACACACACACACACACTTAGTAAAACTGTTTGACTTACATAGTCACAAAAAGTAAATAACTTGATGAACCTTTAAAAGGCCTTTAATAGACACATGCACACATATGTTTATTGCAGCACTGTTTACAATGGCAAAGTCATGGAACCAACCCAAATGCCCATCAATAATAGACTGGATAAAGAAAACGTGGTATGTATATACCATGGAATACTATGCAGCCATAAAAAAGAATGAGTTCATGTCCTTTGTGGGGACATGGATGAAGCTCGAAGGCATCATCCTCAGCAAACTAACACAGGAACAGAAAACCAAACACTGCATGTTCTCGCTCATAGGTGGGAGTTGAACAATGAGAACACATGGACACGGAGGGGAACAACACACACCAGGGCCTGTTGTGGGGTAGGGGAAAAGGAGAGGGAACTTAGAGGTCGTGTCAATAGGTGCAGCAAACCACCATGGCACAGGTATACCTATGTGACAAACCTGCATGTTCTGCACATGGATCCTGGAGCTTAAAGTAAAATTTTTTTTTAAAAAAGGGCTTTATTGGCCAGGTGCGGTGGCTCACGCCTGTAATCCCAGCACTTTGGGAGGCTGAGGCGGGCGGATCATGAGGTCAGGAGATCGAGACCATCCTGGCTACCACGATGAAACCCCGTCTCTACTAAAAATACAAAAAAAAAAAAAAAAAAATTAGCTGGGCATGGTGGCGGGGGCCTCTAGTCCCAGCTACTTGGGAGGCTGAGGCAGGAGAATGGCGGGAACCCGGGAGGCGGAGCTTGCAGTGAGCCAAGATCGCGCCACTGCACTCCAGCCTGGGTGACACAGCGAGACTCCGTCTCAAAAAAAAGGGCTTTGTTAGTTGCCTTGTGGTTCTGAGGAAAGAAGGCGGTTGCCATTATGTGAAAGAATTTTTAGAAATACAAAGCCACTTTTAATGCCCCAGCATTTTGGGGGATGATTTCCAGTTGGAGAAAGTTAGAACTGAACTGTTTGCTCTCTGGCACTCTGGATATCCTGTGACTCAGGACGAATCATTTTATGATGACTCCCGGGAGTTAGTGTGAAACTTGAGGCTATGAAACCAATCAAAGCAGCTTCCCAAACTAGAACCAAATCCAGGACTCTGGCCTCATTATCACAGTGGTTTGATTTATTGAGCTAATGAAGAAAGTCTTTTGTAATTGAGTACTGAATATCATATGGTGTTACTGAATATCTCCTTTTGAAGTACTGAAAATGTACTTCTGCTTAAGAAGGATCAATTCCTTAGAACGTGCTGTTGTTTTAGATCTACATGAGGAGCTTTGAATAATTAACAGTCTGGATGTTGTTGCTATGTACGACTTAGTTTTATTAATGACACATTTCAGAATGCACCATAGAGTTGGAAGGGCTGTCTTTAAAATACCGTTATCATCCAGGAGGGGGAGGTATATCTTCTTTTAAGAAGTCAATTGCCCAGAAAAAAGAATAAAACTAGTTATACTATCTTGCAAAAAAAGAAAGCAAAGCTTCATTTGAAAAAGTAAATTTTGTCAAATTTGCAAAACTTCTTATAAAATCACCAGAATTGTTGCTAAATTTTCTATTTGTATACTATCTTTCACTTTTTTTTTTCTATTTGTATACTATCTTCACTGAGATGTGAGGAAACCCTCACATGTCAGTTAATCCACATTTATACTGCTCTTGCTATGTATGTATGTGCCAAATATAGAGCTGGACATCACAGGGCACAAGCAGTGTTCAAGTCACCAGTGCCTCATAGATGAGAGGGTGGAAATAGGAACAGGTTAGGGGGAGGAAATTATATTCAATAAAGGTACCTGTTGAAACTATTATTGGGAAGTATTTCTGTAAACAGGGTGAGAATGGTGTCAACCTAAATTGAGCAACAGGGATTAATTCTCAAGCTTATTAGGGAATAGCAAGGAACTGCAATCAACATAATACATAATACATGCCTGCTATGGAGGACCATAAGGGTATCCGAGGGAGTTGGGAAAAAAAGGAAGCTTTTAAAGGCAAAAAGATATCCATGTACCTGTTTTGAAATAAAGACCACTGGCTACAGGTCTTTTTACATGCAGTGGCATTTGCTCATTGGTGGTACTGGCTGTTGGTAGGAGAGAGTTTTCATAGAAGTGGCTTAACTGGAAATTTCCAGTTGAGGAAGTCATTTCTGGCAGTTCCTGGTGCAGGCACACATGTGTGAGGGCCCTTCCTTCATGGCCTCCCACTGCATTTTGTTAGGGTTTGACATAAGTGACTCCGTTTTGGGTACTGACAATTTTCACAGGAGTTCTATTCAATAGAAGTAACAGTAAGAAGGTTGAGAATGGATATAAAGGAGAGTAGGATTGAGCTTTAGGGAACCCCTGGAGAGAGGAGAAATGGTAGCAGCTAAGGAGATAACAAATGGGAGAGGATACCAGGTGCGGTGGCTCGTGCCTGTAATCCCAACACTTTGCGGGTTGGAGGCAGGCTGATTGCTTGAGCCTAGGAGTTCAAGACTAGCCTGGGCAACATAGCAAGACACCTTCTCTACCAAAAATGCAAAACTTAGCTGGAACCATGGTGCATGCCTATAGTCCCAGCTGCTAGAGAGGCTGAGGCGGGAGGATCGCTTGAGTCCAGGAGTTTGAGGCTTCATTGAGCTAGGATTGCATCACTGCACTCCAGCCTGGGTAACAGAGCAAGACTTTGTCTCTTAAAAACACACACACACATGAGGGGAGGGAGGTGAACCCTGGAAGAAGTGGGAAGAATCTGGATGATCACAGGAACCCTGGAAGGAGGGAGTTTTAAGAAAGTAGTGGTGCTGGGGGAGGAGGCTAGGAGGATAGAGTGAGTTCACATGGACCTGAATAGGTTTAGGAGAATGCACACAGAGAAAAAGATTTTGTATTTGATTAGAAAGAGTACTAGTGGGTATAAATTCTAATTATAGACACTTAGTAACCATTCTTTGGCCAGTTGATAGAAGTGGTTTAGTAGAACATTTAAGTCCATATAGAGCTTGATGCAGCAGATGACAGCAGACAAGGAGCAGGAAAAGCAGGGTTTCCATCTTGCCTCTGTCACTAACAAGCTGCATGACCCTGGTTGAATCACTCGTCTCTCCTCTCCTTAATTGCTTCATCTATAAATGAAGTTTCTTAAATTGATGTCCAAGGATGAGCTTCAGAGATTCTGAGATGTCTGAAATTATAAGCTAAAAAAAAAGGGGGTTTTCCCTCTAGGGAGAAGGTCTATAGTTTTGATCAGATCCCCCAAAGTGATAATGCATCCTAAAAAGTTAAGGACTACTGGATTAGGTGATCATTAAAGTCCTGCTTAGTATACAATATCAGGAATTTTTAATCTCTGACTTTCGTTTCTCTATTGTATTCCATATGGCCTGTCTCCCAAATCACTCTCAGAGACCACTCTAAGGATTAGATTTTCTGAAATGTAATTGACTGTATCAGTCATCCCCAGGGGATTATTTAGAAAATCCAGGCAATTTTTAAAATTAAAGTTAATCATTTCTTTAGTAGTCCACAGACATTTTCATTAGGACACAACCTTTATATCACTATTTATATCATTTACTAGCCATGCATCTAATGATCATAAACACCAGAAGTGGCTGTAGCCACTTAAACACATGTGGATGTCATTGCCTTTAGTGTTTTCCCTCCAAAAGGAAAAAAAATTGGGAAGAAAAAGCAGTTTATTGAATGTAAACTGGTGACTGAGCTCCCATCAGAGTGATTGCTTTGGTGGTTCTCTTCTGGCAGGCATGTAAGCTCTTAGCAGTAGAGGGGTACTGAGCCCCCAAGTATGCTGCTGCCCTTCATAAGATGGCCAGGAAGGCCGGTGTGGATTTGAATACAACAGTTATCACTGTAGATAATGTCATGGGGGATGTTATTGACATTTATATTATATGCTTCTAAGCAAGAAGCCATCCTGCCATGTAATATACAATTATGATCATTTAATTTGGTGTAATTAATAGATAAATCTTAGGATTGAGCTCTAGAAATCCCTTTCAGGTCTCTTGTTACTTTATAAAATCTGGTGTGTCAGCTGCCTTTACTGGTTAATGATTTATGTCTATAAACCACCTATGTGGATGGTATTCAAGATGTATTGTTTCACTGAAAGCAATGTTTAAAATAACTCTGGACATTTCTAATTCACACAGAAGGTTAAGCTGAAATTGTGCTTCTTATAAATCATAAAGTTATTTAGCACAATCTGTTATCCACCTTTCTCATCTTACCATCATTTGGTTCTAACTGATGGATTTTGCTGCAAGTGATACATTCTACGTGTCACAACAGAAAGGGAAATGAAGTTAATAAATACTTTTATTAACACTTCAGTTTGAAAAGCTAAATGTTGAAGGCAAGTGTCATACTTTTCCTTGGAGCTGTTTCTTTAGCACCGTCTTTAGCTCCCAGTGAAATGCAAGAGGTGGAAAATCCCACCTGTGAAATCCAAACACAGTTCTTGCTGGTCATGGATATTTGCAATATTGGTATGAGCTGTCAGGTGCACAAAACACTAATTTGTTTGCACGTAGACACAAGAGTTCTGCTAGTTATTTATCTTTCTAAAGCCATTGTCCTCCCTGACAGGGGCCTGCTAAATGTGCTGTCTATGCAGAAGGTTTAGATTTATGATTTGTGAAAATTGTTCTGGAGATAACATTGTAGAGTTGTTCTGTTGCTGTATAGATAGTGTATTTTGAGTTTATCTTTCTCTTTCTTCGAAAAAGAGGTTCTTGTTTTTACACTACCGACGTAGTAACTGGATGAGTGATTTCACTGCCATAACTGCTTGTTGGTTTATTTTAAATATGGTGTTTGCTAGCATGTGGCAGACTTCTGCTTTAATGATCACAATGTGATGACAAAAATGCTAAATCTTATCCAATGGAATTACAACATGGACCCGTTTTTGCCTTATGGAAAGGAAAATACCCCTCAGAGATTTTAATTTGCTCATAAAAAGCAAATGTGGAAACAGAAACACCTTGAACAGAGAGGAGAAGTAGGAACCTGCCTGGGAATGTAGAATTTAATAGCCGAAATTCTATTTCCTGTTGTGATAGTAACTGAAGACAACATAAAATATACTTGTCAAAATAATAACACTCTTTAAAATTCCACATTGGTGATTTAAAGATGGAGAAGTTTCAGCTTTAATTTTTGGTAGGGAACTTGCTTTTTGACTTTGATTGCTGTGGACAGGCAATCCACAGCAATCAGTCAATGTGGAGTAGCAGAAAATGTCCTCGGCAGCTATAATGGCTTGATAAGGTGATATGCAGTTTTTATGAATGGCTGTACCCAAGCAGCATCAGCTGATGCTATGGTGGCTTAGAAATTTTCACAGGCTTTTACCTGTTTTCCATAACTCTAGCCATGCACCCTCCTTTTTGAGGTGATACAGAGATCACCCTTTATAAAAAGGCCCTCTCTAGTGCTTTGGCACTTAGCCTGGGAAAACATGCCTGCTTCAGGAATCCCTGGACACATGCCTCATGATTATAAGAGAGAAGATTACAAACCTCATGTCTTTTCAGGAAATATATTGATAGTTTATTCTTAACTTTGGCTTGTTAGGGAGCATCATTCTTTACTAGACATAGACTACTGGTACCTTCCAAATATGGTAAATCACTTTGCAAGAACAAGAAGAGGTTATATCTATGTGTTTATAACAACCCTATGAAACAGATAACTGTCATTGTCCTACTTTAAAGATGGAGCAATTTCCATCCTTTTGTAGAGAGCTAAAAAAAAAAGAAAAGAAAGATGAAGAAACTTGGGGATAGAAAAGTCAGGTGGGTTGCCTAGGGTCCAGAGCCTACACTTTAAACCACCAGGCTTCACTTTTCATTGTGTTTCTAAGGCCCTAACAACATGCTTATTGTTACTAGAGAATTGATGAATGTTATGAAAGTGAGGTAGGAGACTGGCAGGACTTGTTTTCTGGTCACAATCCTGCTGACCAAAACAGGATCTGATCCAGACAGGATAAAGTGAAAAACTAGCAGAAGCCAGAAGATGGCAACAAAAGCCATCCCTAGCTGCCCTCATTGCTTATTGGCATAAGATACTCCCACCAGTGTCATGACAGTGACTGGAAAGTGACCACTCATTTCTATGGCAATGACTCAGAAGTTACCGCCCCTTTCTAGAAAGTTCTAATTTACCCATTCCTCAATTTATATTGACCCACTCCTTAATTTGCATGTAATTGACATTGGATTTACATGAATATAAATACAGCTGACAAGAGCCCGTACATTGCTGACTCTGGGCACACTGTCTATGTGTTAGCCCTGCTCTGCAACTGTTCAATAAAAGATTGCTGTCTAACACCACCGGCTTGCCCTTGAATTCTTTCCTGGGCGAAGCCCCAGTGTTGGGGCTTCCCTCTCCTGCATGAAAAGGAAACGTTCAGGGAGCTTAGAAAATTTATAACTGGGGGTCCTAACATGTTCTGAAGGGGATGAGGATGGTCTTTCAGCAGAAGTGATGTTGAAATTGAGATCTTTAGGGTGAATATAATTTGCTCTGGAAAAAAATAAAAGGTTTCAAGTAGAAAAGACTACACTGCACATTTTCAGCCCTGGAGGGATATGCTGGAGGGATGCAGGAACTGAGAAGTCCAGAATGGTGACATGCAGAGAAAGGAGGGTGATGTGCCTGGAGAGACAGGTGGGAGCAAGAGGGGAGAGGACTTTGAAGGTCATGGTTCTGATTTTGTACTTTACTTTGAACACAAATAAAAAACAACTAAAGAAAAGTAAAAGCAGATAAGTTATATGATCAGATGTGAGCTCTAAATATATCGTTCTGGCTACAAGGTGGTTTAGAGACAAGAGATGGAAATAAGGAGCTTACTGATGAAAGGCAATTGAGAGCTAGTGGCTTGGGCATGAGAAAGAACTGTGAGTAGTGTATTGATTGAAGAAATTTTTAGGAGGTAGAACTGGCAAGATTTCATAATAGAGGGAATATAAAAGGTTAGAGAAAAGTAGGTCTCAGTCTTGTACACCATGCCAGTCTCATTACATTTAATAAAGTAGTATTAAAGAGACATAAACCCATACACACTTTAAAATCTCTAACAGTTAGGAAATGACTAAGCAAACTCTTTGCTCTATTGAGTAATATGTCATCATTAATTATTGTGTTTATAACAGTTGTAAGACATACAAAAGGCATATTATTTAATTTCAGGTAAATAATGAGTGCATGATGATAAAAGTATACCAGTAGTCTGATTTAATATATGCTGAAAACATAAAGATGTCAAAATCCTACGCATAGGGAAGAATCAGGAAAGAATTTACAAAAGATGGTATGAGTAATTTATACCGGCTGCTATGAGTAATTTCTTCTTCTCTCCTTATTTATTTATTTATTTATTTATTTTTATTTTTGAGACAGAGTCTCATTCTGTCACCCAGGCTGGAGTGCAGTGGCATGATCTTGGCTCACTGCAACTTCCACCTCCTGGGTTCAAGAGATTCTCCTGCCCCTGCCTCCCAAGTAGCTGGGATTACAGGCATGTGCCACCACACCCAGCTAATTTTGTGTACTTTTAGCAGAGAAACCGTTTCACCATGTTGGCCAGGCTGGTCTCAAACTTCTGACTCAGATGATCCACCTGCCTCGGCCACCCAAGGTGCTGGGATTACAAGTGTGACCCACTGCGCCTGGCCTTCTCTCCTTTTTAAAATTTTCACATTTTCTTTATGACAAAGTACTACTTTTATAACAAGAAACTATTTTTACAATAAAATAGTATGGAAAAGAGCAGCTACTTTAAAGAAAATTCATTTGTCATTTGCCCTTTGTTATTTGTATACATCTGAATTTTTATTTGCAGCATGTTTAAAATGAGACAAACCTGCATACATTTTTTTAAGTAAAGAGTTTCATTATTCATTTCTTGCTTATGTTAAAATGTCTAACAATAAGGAAAAAGTTAAGCAAACTGTTTGGTCTATTAAGTAATATGTTATCATTAATTATTATGTTTATAACAATTATAAGACATAGGAAAATGACTTCTGCTGTGGTGAGAATTAACTGACTTTAGAACGTTTGGAATGGTTTCTGTGTTGAACACCATTAAGCACCACATATAATCCTGAAGTGAATCCATGGAGGGCTGCCGCAAATGTTGTTTGTGAACCATACCATTTATACGAGCATGTGTGGAAGCCCTAAGAGATAGAGGAGTCTGGTAACCCAGGTCTACCAGGGTTTAGACCCATGCATGTAACCAGTGCACACTCAATGTTGTATCTCTATGGCCCTTCTGTACCAAAAGCTGCATGCAGACAGGAGCTGTCTGTTGTTCACTGCTGTATCCTCACGGCCTGAGCACATGCTAAGCTCTCAAGAAACTTTGTTGAACAAGTGAATATATTTGTTTATCAGTGTATACAATGATTTTCTTAGGTTGGTTCTGGAAATCAAATTAATGTGTTAAAGGTTATGGACATTTAACATTTCTGAGGTCCTTATAATGTATTACCAAATTACTTTGCAGAAGGCTTGTACCAATTTATACTTACTCACTAGAAGTATTATTTTGTTTGTTTAACCATTCCTTTACCAGCACTAGATATCTTTATTTTCTTAAGATTTTAAGTGTTTTTGATAAAAACAGGTAAGGCTTGTTTTCTCAATTTCTGAGTTTTAATCTAATTTTCATGGTTTGTTTTATTTTATAAAACAAAAAGTTCATTTAAAAATTTGGTTAATAAAGAAAAAATAAATGCAATAATGATCCAACTACACATAGCTACAGTCAATATTTTGGTATGTATCTTTTCAGCCATCTATATTTAGACTTATTTACATATATTTCATATATAATCCATTATTATATATGTATAATAAAAAGTCAGACTCCGTTTTTGATGTTTGACTGCTGGCAGCTTTCAAGCCCCACCACGCCCCCTTCCCCTGCTCCCCTACATTTGGGCAAGCAAGTAAAAAAGACCTGTTGCTTCTTCCTCTGGCTCCAATGAGAAGGACACAACACACAAACCTTGGCCAACATGTGGGAGCCTTCACCCCAGCTTTATCTCTTCATTGCAATAAAGTCTAAGCTGATCTTCTCTTCTACTCTCTCAAATCATTTGTGAATCTGTTTGGGAGCCTTTCTCGCTCTCCCCAGAAAGCCTCATTATGCGAGTAGTAAATGTCTGCATATCCTCTTGGTGTGTATGTAGCATTATCATCAGTCTCTATATGTGACTCCAATTCAGGTGTTTAGGGGTGAAGGGAGTCTATCATGTCTTCTTGTGGAGACCACAACAATACAGATTATAAAAATGGAGTTTAACATATATATTTCAAACAAGAATGAGATTATACTATACATATTTTGTAATAATCTGATTTTTATTTAATAATGTATTTTCAAAAATATCATTAAATAATTTTCACAATACCATATTTAATGACAGTATATTATACCGGTATATGGTACAAATGATCTAACTGACTTATTATTGGATACATATGTTGGTTCCATTTTTTTTTTGGCTATTTTAAATAAGCTACAGTGAATAAACATCCAGCTATACTTTTGTGTCTATTCTTGATGATTTCTGTAAGATAGCTTTGCATTTAAGTATTAATGCATCATAAGCACATTCACTAAACATTTACAGAGTACGTGAAATGCACAACTTTTGGGACTCCTAAACATAAAAGACATCAAATTTTCTTGCAGAGAAGTCCCTATATAATAAGGGATCCAGAAAAATATTTACAAATTAAAAAACTGAATTTTTGGTTAATTTATCAGGTGTGAAGTTTTTCAGGGTGGCACTAGTACATTTCTATTTATTTGTGACATGTTAATGAGCAGTTTCTTCTCTGATCTATTTTTAGTGAGTTATAACTGGAAAAGTAGGTTTCATTTGACATTTAAAAAATTAGATTACATTAAAATATAACCACAAGGCAGGGTTTTTATAATGCTCAAGTATTACATATGTTTTTATAACCACAGAGCCTGACAAGTGATTTGCTTCTTTGAAAACTGAACTCACATTACTGAACATAGTGTGTATGTATGTGTGCAAATTTATAGACATATGAGGATGAAATAACTAATTTACAGAGTTAGGTTTACTTTCTGACCTAGTGTCTAACTGAAATTTCAGGTTCATATGTTTGTTTTGTTAAAAGATGGGGGAGAGGGAGGGACCAAGATGGCTGACCAGAAGCAGCTGCAGCTGGAGACTCCCACCAAGGAGAAAGAAAAAGGTGAGTGAATCCTGCACTGGCAACTGAGGTATCCAGGTTCTCTCACTGGGACTGACTAGGTGGTTGGCATGACCCACAGAGAGTGAGAAAACGGAGGGTAGAGCAATTGTCCACCTGGTAGCCACATGGGGCAAGGAAGCTCCCACCCCCAGCCAAGGGAGGCGGTGAGTGATTCTGCTACCCCACCTTGGAAACCATACTTATTCCAATGATCTGTGTGAACCACAGGTCAGGAGATCCCCTTATGAGCCCATGCCACCAGGGCTTTGGATCCCAAGCACAGAGCTGTGCAGATTCTCTATGGCTGCTCAGCTAGAGACTGTTTAAGGCTACCCAGTTCTCAGGGGGAGGGGAAACCATCATCATTGATGCCTAAGAAAATTGGGGAGACTGGGCAGTTTGGACCCAGGAGGAATTCTCCATAACATAGCACAGCGGTTGTGGCAGACTGTGGCCAGATTTCCTCTTTAGGCTAGACCCTAACCCATCCCTGCTCAACGGGTAGGGCCTGCTTGTGGGAATTTCAGCAACTCTAGCCAGGGGTTTCCTGACAGAACTCTGATCTTTCTGGGATGGAGTGCCTATGGGGAGGGGTGGCTGTGATCTCTGCAGATCAGCAGACTTAGTCTTTCTTCCTGCTGGCTCTGAGGAATCCAGGCAATATGGACAAGTGGGATTCCCCCCAGTATAGTGCACCCCCTCTGCCAAGGGGCAGCCAGAGTGCTTCATTAAGTTGGTCCCTCATCCCATGCCTCCTGACTGGGTGAGACCCTCCGACTGGGTGAGACCCTCCAACAGGGTCACCGGACACTTTATACAGGAGCGTTCCTGCTGGCATCAGGTTGGTGCCCTTCTGGGACAGAGCTCCCAGAGGAAGGAGCAGCAACCATCTTTGCTATTCTCCAGCCTTCCTGGGTGACACCTCCATGTGTGAGAAGGACCAAGGTGAATAGGGTCTGGAGTGGACCCCCAGCAAACTGCAGTAGCCCTATGTAAGAGGGACTTGACTGTTAAAAACAAACAGAAAGCAACAAAAACAACAGGGTCAAAAATAGTACCCACAAAAACCCCATCCAAAGGTCAGCAGCCTCAAAGATCAAAGCTAGATAAACTCATGAAGATGAGAAAGAATCAATGAAAAGACTCTGAAAACTCAAAAAGCCAGAGTGCCTCTTCTTCTCCGAATGATCATGACACCTCTCCAGCAAGGGCACAGAACTGGGAGGAGGCTGAGATGGATGAATTGGCAGAAGTAGGCTTCAGGAGGTGGGTAATAATGAAGTTTGCTGAGCTAAAGGAGCATGTTCTAACCCAATGCAAAGAAGCGAAGAATAATGATAAAACATTACAGGAACTGTTAACCAGAATAACCAGTTTGGAGAGGAACATAAATGGAGCTGAAAAATACAACTCAAGGACTTCACAATGCAACCACAAGTATCACTAGCTGAATAGACCAAGCAGAGGAAAGAATTTCAAAGCTTGAAGGCTATCTTGCTGAAATAAGACAGTCAGACAAGACTAGAGTAAAAAGAATGACAAGGAACAAACAAAACCTCTGAGAACTATGGAATTATGTAAAAAGACCAAACTATGATTGGGGTATGTGAAGGAGATGGGGAGAATGAAACCAAGTTGGCAGGGAGAATGAAATCAAGTTGGAAAACATACTTCAGGATATCATCTTGGAGAACTTCCCCAACCTAACAAGACAGGCCAATATTCAAATTCAGGAAATCCAGAGAACCCCAGTAAGATACTCCATGAGAACAGTAACCCCAAGACACATAATCATCAGATTCTCTAATGTTGAAATGAAGGAAAAAATGTTAAGGGCAGCCAGAGAGAAAGGCCAGGTCACCTACAAAGGGGAACCCATCCGACTAACAGCAGAACTCTCAGCAGAAACCCTACAAGCCAGAAGAGGTTGGGGGCCAATATTCAACATTCTTAAAGGAAAGAATTTCCAATCCAGAATTTCATATCTGGCCAAACTAAGCTTTATACGCAAAGCAGAAATAAAATCCTTTTCAGACAAACAAATGCTGAGGGAATTTATCACCACCAGGCCTGCCTGGCAAGAGCTCCTGAAGGAAGCACTAAATTTGGAAAGGAAAAACCATTACCAGCCACTACAAAAACACACTGAAGTACAAAGACCAATGACACTATGAAACAACTACGTTAACAAGTCTGCAAAGTAACCAGCTAGCATCATGATGACAGGATCAAATTCACACATAACAATATTAACCTTAAATGTAAATGGGCTAAATGCCCCAATTAAAAGACACAGAATAGCAATCTAGATAAGGAGTCAAGACTCATCATTGTGCTGTATTCAAAGGACCAATCTTTGTGCAAAGACACACATAGGCTCAAAATAAGGGATGGAGGAAAATTTACCAAGCAAATAGAAAAGAGAAAAAAGCAGGAGTTGCAATCCTAGTTTCTGACAAAACAGACTTTAAACCAACAGAGATAAAAAAGACAAGGGCATTATATGATAGTAAAGGATTCAATTCAACAAGAAGTACTAACTATTCTATGTATATATGCACCCAATACAGGAGCACCCAGATTCATAAAGCAAGTTCTTAGAGATCTACAAAGAGACTCAGACTCTCACACAATAATAGTCGGAGACTTTAACACTCCATTGTCAATATTAGACAAATCAATGAGACAGAAAATTAACTGGATCAAGTGGACCTGATAGACATCTACAGAACTCTCCACCCCAAAACAACAGAATATACATTCTTCTCATTGTCACATGGCACTTACCGTAAACTCAGTCACATAATTGGAAGCAAAACACTCCTTAGCAAATGCAAAAGACCTGAAATCATAACAGTCTCTCAGACCACAGTACAAATTAGAACTCAAGATTAAGAAACCCACTCAGAACCACACAACTACATGGAAATTGAACAATCTGCTCCTGAATGACTCCTGGGTAAATAATGAAATTAAGGCAGAAATCAAAAGTTCTTTGAAACCAATGAGAACAAAGAGACAACATACCGGAATCTCTGGGAGGCAGCTAACGCAGTGTTAAGAGGGAAATTTATAGCACTAAGTGCCCACAACAAAAAACTAGAAAGATCTTAAATTGATATTCTAACATCATAACTAAAAAAACTAGAGAACCAAGAGCAAACAAACCCCAAAGACAGCAGGAGACAAGAAATAACCAAGATCAGAGCTGAACTGAAGGAGATAGAGACATGAAAAACCCTTCAAAAAAAAATCAGTGATTCCAGGAGCTGGTTTTTTGAAAAAAATAAAATAAAGTAAACCACTAGCTGGACTAATAAAGAAGAAAAGGGAAAAGAATCAACTAGACACAATAAAAATTGATAAATAGGATATCACTACTGACCCCTGAAAACTAGACAACCGTCAGAGAATACTATAAACACCTCTGTGCAGATAAACTAGAAAATCCAGAAGAAATGGATAAATTCCTGGATACATGCACCCTCCCAAGATTGAACCAGGAAGAAGTTGAATCCCTGAATAGACCTATAACAAGTTCTGAAATTGAGGCAGTAATAGTCTACCAACCAAAAAAAAGCTCAGCACCAGATGGATTTACAGCTGAATTCTACCAGAGGTACAAAGAGGAGCTGGTACCATTTCTTCTGAAACTATTCCAAGAAATTGAAAAGGAGGGACTCCTCCCTAACTCATTTTATGAAACCAGCATCATCCTGATACCAAAACCTGGCAGAGATCAACAAAAAAAGAAAACTTTGGGACAATATTCCTGATGAACATCGATGCAAAAATCCTCAATAAAATAGTGGCAAACTGAATCCAGCAGCATATCAAAAAGCTTATCCACCACGATCAAGTCAGTTTCATCCCTGGGATGCAAGGCTGGTTCAACATATGCAAATCAATAAACATGATTCATCACCTAAATAGAACTAAAGACAAAAACCATATCTCAATAGACGCAGAAAAGGCCTTTGAAAAATTTCAACATCCATTCATGTTAAAAACTCTCAATAAACTAGGTATTGATGGAACATACCTCAAGATAATAAGAGCCATCTGTGACAAACCCACAGCCAATATCATACTGAATGAACAAAAGCTGGAAGCATTCCCCTTGAAAACTGGCACAAGGCAAGGATGCCCTTTCTTGCCACTTCTATTCAACATAGGTGTAAGTTCTGGCCAGGGCAATCAGGTAAGAGAAAGAAATAAAGCATATTCAAATAGGAAGAGGGGAAGTTAAACTGTCTCTGTTTGCAGATGACATGATCCTATATTTAGAAAACCCCATCATCTCAGCCCAAAAGCTTTTTAAGCTGATAAGAAACTTCAGCAAAGTCTCAGGATACAAAATGAATTTTCAAAAATTCCTATACAGGCATTCCTATACGCCAACTATAGACAAGCAGAGAGCCAAAATCATGAATGAACTCCCATTCACAATTGCTACAAAGAGAATAAAATACCTATGAATACAGCTAACAAGGGACATGAAGGATCTGTTTTATAGGTATGTTTTCAACTTAGGAAATACAGTTATAGTAATGGTTTTAATGACCTTGTCTACTAATTCTAACATCTGTGTCAGATATGAGTCTGTTTTAATTGATGGATTTCTTTTCCCTCAGTGTGAGCCTATTTTCCTGCTTTTTTGCATACCTGCTAATTTTGGTTAGGAAGACAGACATTGTGAATTTTACCTTGTTAGTTGCAAGTTATGTTCATATCTTGAGCTTTGTTCTGGATTGTGATTAAATTACTTTGAAACTGGTCCATTTTGGTCATGCTTTTAAGATATGTTAGGTAGGACCAGAGCAGCATTTAGTCTAGGACTAAATTCCCCACTTTTGAGGCAAAGCCTTCTGAGCATTCTACCTATTTTCCTATGAATTGTGAGGTTTTCCAGTCTAGCTAGTGAGAATAGGCACTACTGTCAGACTTAAGTAACTTCTTCATACCCATGCACTGCTAGTTCTCTGCGGAATACTTCGGAGGGACCCTCTGTAGATCTCCAGAGTTGTCTATCTGTATAGCAGATGCCTGTCTCTCTCCTGCAATCTATCCTGTGAACTCCCTGGACTTCCTGGTAATCGGTTTATGTTCTTCTTGGACTCTTAGTTCCTCAACTCGGGGAATCTGCCATTCTCCATCTGAGTTCCTCCTCCTGGTGCATGACCTGGAAACTCAATCATACACACACTTCATTTGTTTTATATCTCAGGGATCACTTTTCTTTGTTGCTTGATGTCCAGTATCTTGAAAACTGTTTTTTTACATATTTTGTCTGTTTTCTTGGTTATTTCAATCAGGAATATAAATTTGGTCCATGTGACTCCATCTTTTCTGGAGTGAAATTTCTACTTCAAGTGTTCATGAAAAGGTTTTTGTTAGTTTTGCCATATAATTTTCTATTTGAATTTAGGCAGTAATCTAAATTGTACTTTAGATTAAGAAAGGAATGAATTACTTTATGTCAAATACATATTTATATAAAGAAATATTCTACATACAAAAGATATATTGTAAATAAAATAATTAACTTTTGTGTTTTTTCATAGTTTGGTTGGAAAAGTAATTATTTTGATTTATTAGCAGCTATAAGGTAAGTCTAATAATAATAGTAGCAGTAATTTTACACTTTTAACTATATTACAGTTAAAATCATTTTTTTGAAATTAAAATACATATATCTGGAGATCATGCCAAATACATTTTAAACTGAATATATTTATAGTTTTTAATGCTGCAGATTATTAAAGCTGAATACATAAGCCTTATGCAAAGACTTAAGAAATTTTCTGAAACAAAGTAACTATCACTTACTGAGTGTGTGTGTACTTTGTGGCAGGTACTTCATAAAATTATTTTTTATTCTCATAATGTATTTATTAGGTAGATATCATTATCCTCATTTCAGAAATGAGGAAACTGGTATCTAATAGGGTTATATAATTTCCCTAAGTTACAGAGTAAGTTAAATGGTAGAGCCTGGATTTAAACAGGTCAGATAACTAAAACCCAAAGTATTTTATTATGCCATGCTGACCAAAATTCTCAACTCTATAATGAACTTCCAGTTATTAAGATTTTTAAGAATGTGTTTTATAATGAATTTGTTGGTTAGTTTTAGCTTATTAACATACCAAGTAGGAGAGTAATATTTTACAAATTTTCTCTCCTGTAATGTAATGATAATTTGATGTCACACTTCAGGTCTGGTTATAACTCACATTTGAAACACTTTGCAGTTTCCATGGTGCTTTCACATAGTTTTATCTATTAATTCTCATAGCCACATGGGTATGACATTAACCTCATTTTGCTCAAACTTTACCACCTGGTCTAGGTTCCCATGATTCTTAGATGAGTGTTTTTTCTATGGTTCCAAGCTAGCCTTTTTGTGTCATTAACTTATTTTATTAAAACAAATAAGCAAAACCAAAATGACACTGATATAAAATCAAATCATTTTCCCCGCTTTTATAATACCTTTAAAAATAAAGTTTTATTTGTAATATATTCTTTTTATATTTGAACATGTATTAAAACATTTTTCTCGCTATAGTAATGCTAGTTTTTTATTTGCTTTGCAGTCTTGCAGGCAATCTCACTGAATGTGGTACTCAGGGTACTGGTGGAATATTCACCGATTATCATTTGGTGCCAGACTGACAGGAAGCAATGAATATATATATATATATATATATATATAAAGGTTATAGCATGGCATATAGTATCTACATTTTATAAATTTTATTGTTCATTAAACTGTATTTAAGTAGTGCCCATTTAAAAATATCTTTGTATTGTGAAACACAAGCAAATGTTATATCCTAGTCATTATTATCTTATTAGGATCCAGAACTAAGTTGTAGGAGAATTCTTTTTTTTTTTTTTCTTTGAGATGGAGTCTCCCTGTGTTGCCCAGGCTGGATGGAGTGCAGTGGTGTGGTCCTGGCTCACGGCAACTTCCAACTCTCTGGTTCAAGCGATTCTCCTGCCTCAGCCTCCCGTGTAGCTGGGATTACGGGCACATACCGCCACACCCAGCTAATGTTTGTATTTTTAGTAGAGATGGGGTTTTGCCATGTTGGCCAGGATGATCTTGATCTTCTGACCTCGTGATATGCCCACCTTGGACTCTCAAAGTGCTGGGATTATAGGCATGAGCCACCGCCCCTGGCCATAGGAGAATTCTTTAAGGCATCTTAAAGATCATACTTCCTCAAAATAATATGCAATATTTTTGTACTTCTATTATAATATTATGATGTCTAACTTATTATCAATGTTTGTTGTTATTAAACCATTATTATATCTGTTATGGGTTGAATTGTGTCCCCCCAAAAAGATACAGTATGTTGAAGTCCTAACCCCCAGTGCCTAAGAATATGACCTTATTTGGAGATAGGGTCTTTAAAGAGGTAATCAAGTTGAAATGAAGTCATTAGGGAGAGCCGTCATCCAATATGAATGGTGTCCTTATTAGAAGGGGATATTTGGACAGACAGAAGATGAGAGTGATGCATTTAAAACCACGGAACACCAGCGATTGGTGGCAAACACCAGAAGCTGGGAAGGGGCAAGGAAGGATTCTCCCCTAGAACTGTCAGAGAGAGCATGGCCCTGCCTGCTGATACCTTGATTTTGAATTTCTAGCCTCCAGAACTGTGAGCCTATAAATTCCTGTTGTTTTAAGTCACCCAGTTTTTGGTACTTTTTTATGGCTGCCCTAGGAAAGTAATATAGTACCTGAAATAGAAATAGAACCTCTCCCTTTAAGGACTGAATACACTGAATATACTGAGACCTTAAATGCCAGGACATGCTCATGATTTACTTTTTCTCTCACCCTATTCCATCCAAGTCTTCGTTGTTAGAAGTAGCAGAAGGCCCTTGGTCCTAGAAGCTCCTTGCTCTCAGAAGCTCCTGCAATATGCACCAGCAAAGTCGGCTTCATTTACCAATATGAAGCTTACAATACACAGGCCTCTGCTTTAGTGGAAAACAGGAGACTTTAGATGACATTCCAAACCGCTGTCAGTCTAGACAGTAGATCTTTCCAGTCTTGTCTCCACTTTTACTCTGTGAGCCTTGTCTGTAGCCAGACAGGCACTGCTCACTCTTCTCTCTATCATTTCTTTTTCCTCCTCCTTGGCTGTCATGTGGCACCAGACTGGCAGGAAGCAGTGAAAACACGAGTGTCAGAGCACTGATGGGAAATGTGGCTGAGGCCCTTTGCTGTTAGGGCTCTGCATTGTCTCCCTCAGGGGGAGCATCTGCGGTCTCAGTGTGGAGAGCAGGTGGCTCCCACACTTTATACCTACTGACCTGGCGTCTCACCGGAGCTTCTGAATCACAACCCCACTAGAAAGATCTGAATAGATTTGACTTTATTTATAATTTTATTCTTACCTCAAAATCATCCACCCCTGTTGAAGACATGTCCATTTCTGACAGTGACATGGTCAGTCGGCCACTAATTCAGACTCAGGCAATCTTGGTTCTCTTCTATGGTCTGCTTTATCTCATCAATCACCAGATGAGATCAGTGTTTCAATCCATAATATTTCTCATTTTGTTTCTTTCATATTCACTCACACTTGCCAGTTTCCTCATCTAGATTCTGCAGGCGACTATAATAGTCTTTTAATTGGTTTCCCTGTCTCTTGTTTCTAGTGCCAGGGCTTTCCAACTCTGAAGTAGTGATAGTCTTATCTATTCAACCAGATTGTAAACTCTTTGAAAAGATGGATCTTTGCATATCTAGGAATTTATCATAATAGCATTGTCTCACCCAAAATAGCAATTAAAAACCATAAATTCTACAGACATTACCTGGAATCCTAGTTCTACCACTTATAAGCTCTGTGAGATGGGTCAAGCTACTTAACTTCTATTTGCCTCAATTCACCGATCTGTAGAATAAGGATAATCTGTGCTAGTTAGGTTGTAGAATGGGAAGGTGGTGTGAATCAAATAATAAATGTAAAGCACTTAGGACAGTGCCAAAGATATGTAGTAAGTTTTCAGTAAAATGTTCACCTCTATTTTACTGTTTTGCACTTAGATGTTCATCAGATATCTGTAAATGAATCAAACTGATACTATATTAACACAAGAACAGACATGTGCTTTGACTGCATCTGAACATATGTTGCCCATCTTAATTGTGTTGACGTAGTCCTGAGCTTTTTGAGTTCCTCAAGCATAAAATTAGGATAACACCTACTCACAGGGTTGTTTAAAGAGGAAAATAAATGAGCTGCCATTGGTAAGGACTGAGTCCAGTGCCTGACATATAGTAAACACTAAATAAATGGCACCCAGTAGAAATAGAAATAATGGCAATACTATTGGTAGTAAAGCAGTGGTAGCAGTGATGGTGGTGGTTTTAATGGTAGCAATAATAGTAGTAATGCAGTGGGCAGCAGTATTTCATTTAGTTTCTTATAACTGTGGGACATATAAGAAATTGAGAGTAGCTTGGGGGAATGTGAGGAAAAGACATCAAGATTTATTTGAGATTGGGTGAGCATTGATAGTTGAAGCCATGGAAGTGGATGAGGTGGCTTGGGAATGTAGAGGACCACAAGGGGAGAATCAAGGAATCAAGGGAAGGGAAGGACAAGGGGAAAGTTGAGTGTATTGGGAAGTCTAGGGTTGGGTTTCAGTAAGTTCTTGTCCATCTGATTCAGAGGTAGTGGGAGGAAGCACATAAGTTCTAAGAGGGGCAGCTGTGATAAGAGAGTTAAGGAAGACAGCTAGTAGGCTGTGCTATAGTGCCTGCCCAGCCTGCATCTCCAGTCATTTCTCAACCATGTTCTCACCTTTCCACCTTTCTCCGACTTTGTCTCCTTTCCTTCTTAACATTTAAAGAATTAATTTCTTTATCTATATACCCATATAAAATATTTTTCATAAATGAATAAATCTGGTCATATTCCATCTTCTTTCTTTAATGTAGTTCTCTTATTATTTTTTGTTTGCCTCCTCTTTTCCCACTGCTCCTCTCTCCTGCTTATTGGCATCGCTTCTGCCTATGTAATCATGCTATAGACCAAACATGTATTCTTTTATACTTTGTATTTACCCTCAGATAATCATATACGGATGTGAATGCATATACACATATTAACATATTGGTGTATAATAAAATGTTCTAGGCCGGGCGCGGTGGTTCACACCTGTAATCCCAGCACTTTGCGGGGCAGAGGCGGGCGGATCACGAGGTCAGGAGATGGAGACCATCCTGGCTAACATGGTGAAACCCCGTCTCTACTAAAAATACAACAAAAAAAATAAAAATAAAAGTAAAATATTCTCCTATCTGATAAGCCAAGTCCTTCCTCATCCCCTTTTCTTAAAAAATATTTTTTTTGTGGCTGGGCATGGTGGCTTGCGCCTGTAATCCCAGCACTGTGGGAGGCCGAGGTGGGTGGATCACCTGATGTCGGGAGTTCAAGACCAGCCTGACCAACATGGAGAAACTGCATCTCTACTAAAAATACAAAAAAAATTAGCCAGACGTAGTGGTGCATGCCTGTAATCCCAGCTACCTGGGAGGCTGAGGCAGGAGAATCACTTGAACTTGGGAGGCGGAGGTTGTGGTGAGCTGAGATCGCGCCATTGCACTCCAGCCTGGGCAACAAGAGCGAAACTCCATCTCAAAAAATATATATATTTTTTGCTATTGTTTGGCATTTGTTCTTTCACATGAGCCTTAAGATTATCTTATCCAAAGGAGGAAATTCTAACTGGATTTGTTTTGAGTATATAATTAACTTGGTAGAACTGACATTTTATTATAATGTCTTTCCATCTAAGAAAATGGTTTGTTTTTCCATTTTTATAGATCTTGTTTTATTGTTCTTCAATACATTTTAGAGATATGTGCCATGGATAATATCACAGAATTGTCAACTTACTTCCACACTTTGCTTAGAAAGGATGGTATGAAGTTGGAAACAATTGCAGTTTTGTATGATAAAGACTGGAGTGTGTGCGTGCGTGTGTGTGTGTGTGTGTGTGTAGATGTAACGTTTAAGAACAAAACCATATTATTCACTGACCTGGAATTTCAGTAGGAGACACTTGGGAAGAGTCACAAGTTACATCTGCTGAGGATCACCAACTTCATACGATAGCTGTTCAGCCACTGTACCAAAGAAGACAATCCCCCCCAAGCAGGGGGGCTTGGGTATGAGGAACTGTCCATCGGAAAGCTTTCCAGTATGGGAAATCATATATTGTGCATAGGTGAAAAACAGGGAAAACTATGGTTCAGAGCAGCCAGGAGGAGAATCCGAGGAAAAGTGGCTACATTATACCAAATGATACATTTGATGAATAACAATTATCCAAACTGTGTATTTTACATATTCAGTTTCTATATTTAATATTACACCTCTTAAAATCACATGATGACTTATCAGTGTGTGATAAGGACTAAATTCAGATGATGCCTGGGAGCCAAAGATAAAGAAATCATACTGAGAGGAATGGATGTATTTCGTATAGAAATTCAGTTAATGTTTTTCTAAAGGTGCGGAAACGGCGTCTGGCTCCTTGTGATGAGAATCCTAGCTGGATGGAGCAGGGATTCAAGGGAAAGAAGTCAGAGGAATAGGACTGCATGAGCTGGGAGGCCTGGCAAGCGCTATGCATGATTGGTTCCTGCCCAGTCAAATTGAGGCAGGAGAATAGAGTCTGGAGGCTGAGAACCTAAGGCCGTTTCACGCTGACTTCCTATAACTAATTTAAAGGAAAACCCTAACTTTCCAAGCCTAAATAACAAAAGGACCAGCGGCTACTCACTTTGTAAACCCCCCACCTTTTCTGCACTGGCAGATGGGAAATTGGCTGTCCACAGCAAATCAGACTGATTGCTGGTGGAGTCTTCATTTGCAACTTTGTAACTTCACTCCAGCCTCTGAATGGCTGCTGTCCACAACCAATCAGACTGGTTGCCTGCCGAGTCTTCATTTGCATAGAAGTATAACTTTGTAACTTCACCCTAGCATCTGATTGGTTGCTTGGCGCAACCAATCAGATGCTTGCGCAGGAGTGTGACCTTTGTAACTTCACTTCAGCCTCTGATTGGCTGCTTTCTGCAACCAATCAGACTGACTGCTAGCTACCGCTTCATGTACGTGAAGTGAGCATGAAGTGGCCAATGGGAAATTTGTAGGGGGTATTTGAACCCAAGAAGATTCTGTATCCGGGCACTTGAGCTGCTGCTCAGGTTGGCTCCCACGCTATGGAGTGTACTTTCGTTTTTCAATAAATCCCTGTGTTCCTTCTTTTGTTGCTTCATTCTTTCTTTGCTTTGCTGGGAGTTTTGTTCAATTCTTTGTTCAAAACGCCAGGAACCTGGCCAACTTGCAGTCATGACTCTCTATCGGTGACAAAATTCCTCTGGTCCATGGTGACTTCAGACTGATTCCAGGGCTTACTGCATTGGCGGTCAGATTGATCCCCACTCTCTTCTTACTGCTTGCAGTAAAAGGAAGATTGTTATGAACCCAAGCTGGCAGGACTTAGCCTCAGCTTTCAAATACCCACTGTGATGTACCAGTACTTTATAGAAAGAAAATATTTTTAATCTTTGAAGCCAGAAATTATCCCCTAAATGTATATATGTGTTCACTATTATTTTCCTTGAAAAATATTCTTCTAAATCTTAAAAAATATTATGGTTTTATCCAAAAGAAAAATCTTAATTTTGCCTCAGTGATTCAAATCATATTGACGAATGCTGTGTGGTTTAGGTTTTTTCTTAATGATTCAGTGATTTATTCCAAATAAGACATATTTCTCCTGGCTGCCTACTTCTACTATAAACATCCCACAAATATTGTACCTTAAATAGCATTCTTAGCAACTGCGAATTAAAAATCATCTCTATTCAGCTAAATAGTAAGATGATATCCACTTATTATTTCTGATGTTTCCTCTTTTTTCTATGTCTCTATATTTCTGCATTTAAATGTGTGGTTTAAATAAAATATGCAATACAAAATGTAAAATATGACAACTGTTTTACTTTAAATAATATCTAGAACAACCAAGACTTATCTATAATTTTTTCACTAAGGATAGTCCCAAGGAATAGTATCTTTATCATCTTCTGTAGGGTCCTTTTAATTGTAATTATGCATAGCACATGGCCTTTTAAAACTTGTAATTTTTATTTATGATGTTTAAAAATGCAGTGGTCATAATATAAAATAGCTTCAATTAGTATATTTATTCTTTCTCCACTGCAGTCTTTAAAAACGAATAATAAACTCCCAGTGAACTTTTACCCTGTAAATGACCTGATATGACACATTTGAACTTGCAGTGAACTTACACATGAACTTTCAGTTATCCTCTGAGAAATACAGCAGATGGAAAATAGGCAGATTTTTCAAATATTTTCAGAAGCAGGACTTTGACATGCTCAACAGAGGGAACAAGGCCAGTTATCTCTTGGCAGTGTTTACTTTGCTGGCTTTGTTGCACTGCAGGCTGTTTAGTTACATTATATGCCTGAACAGAGAGTTTCAGTTATATTTGTGTTTGACTGACACCTTGATTTTAAACCAGCTCTTGTGTATATATTTAAAGACAAAATTAACTTTGGGAGGCCGAGGCGGGTGAATCATGAGGTGAGGAGTTCAAGACCAGCCTGGCCAAGATGGTGAAACCCTGTCTCTACTAAAAATACAAAAATTAGCCAGGCGCGGTGGCAGGCACCTGTCGTCACAGCTACTGGGGAGGCTGAGGCAGGAGAACTGCTTGAAGCTGGTGGGGCAGAGGTTGCAGTGAGCCAAGATCGCACCACTGCACTCCAGCCTGAGTGACAGAGTGAGACTCTATCTCAAAAAAAAAGAAAGACAAAACTAATTGGGTCATAAAATACAACAAATTCTAAGAGAACTTTATTGAATCAATTGAAATAATATTGTTTCTAATCATTTAAATACTAGGGGGTTTTAAAAGTTCATTTCAGATTTTAGAATATGAATCAGCTATAATGTCTTTGACTTTAAATAGTTTTCAGCTAGGAATTCAGGTCAAAATGTATGTGGTTTCTGAAAGGTCACTTGGGAAAAGAAGAGAATTAACTGAGCACTAACTAGTCTACTATTATTGCTATGGTGTGAGATAGGCTCCTTAGAGTTACTTAATCCTGACAACTTTCTTCCAATGTAAGTTCATTTTACAGAAGACAAAATCATGCTCATTTTATAGAGAAGGGAGACAAAGTTTGAGTAACTTGCCCAAGAAAACACAGCTAACTAGTATTCAACTTTAGTTCTCTTAGACTCTCAAACCCTTGCTCCTTGAACAATTTCATGCTCCCAGAAACAAAATATTTTGTTTGATCAAATAACTGCTAAAGATCAAAGTGTGATAAAACTCTAATACTTTTATAATCTTTATTTAGAGAATTTAAAGAGTTTCTTTATTCCAAAATATCTTTAAATAACTTAGATTGAATAAATTATTTCAGAAAGCTCTCAGTGGTTTGAAGATAGTAGCTAAGATTTCTGCTTCTCTTGACAAAAAAACTATACATCTATTACATTTACCAAAAAAATGCAGTCGTATATACTATTTATCTTCTGAGATGCATCTCTTTCCTTAGAATCAATTCTTTTTAACACCCACTTTATTTTCAGATCATAATTTATTCATTCTAAGCAGTGTTTTAGATTTATTTAGTTGAGAGAGATTATATTTAATGGACATAGATGTGTGAAATGGCACATAACTGCATTTATAAGATCAGAATGTGAACTATGTTAAGCTATCATTAGTCCAGCTTTTTTGACATTTGACTTAGTAATGACAGTATCATTGGTCAGGCAGATAAATATCTTTCCATTGTACAAGGATGTGCTCAGAAGGTAATTTATAGATTCAGTGTCATCCCCATCAAGCTACCAATGACTTACTTCACAGAACTGGAAAAAACTACTTTAAAGTTCATATGGAACCAAAAAAGAGCCTGCATTGCCAAGTCAATCCTAAGCCAAAAGAACAAAGCTGGAGGCATCACGCTACCTGACTTCAAACTATACTGCAAGGCTACAGTAACCAAAACAGCATGGTACTGGTACCAAAACAGAGATATAGACCAATGGAACAGAACAGAGCCCTCAGAAATAACGCATATCTACAACTATCTGATCTTTGACAAACCTGACAAAAACAAGCAACGGGGAAAGGATTCCCTATTTAATAAATAGTGCTGGGAAAACTGGCTAGCCATATGTAGAAAGCAGAAACTGGATCCCTTCCTTACACCTTATACAAAATTAATTCAAGATGGATTAAAGACTTAAATGTTAGACCTGAAACCATAAAAACCCTAGAAGAAAACCTAGGCAATACCATTCAGGACATAGGCATGGGCAAGGACTTCATGTCTAAAACACCAAAAGCAATGGCAACAAAAGCCAAAAATGACAAATGGGATCTAATTAAACTGAAGAGCTTCTACACAGCAAAAGAAACTACCATCAGAGTGAACAGGCAACCTACAGAATGGGAGAAAATTTTTGCAATCTACTCATCTGACAAAGGGCTAATATCCAGAATCTACAATGAACTCAAACAAATTTACAAGAAAAAAACAACCCCATCAACAAGTGGGTGAAGGATATGAACAGACACTTTCAAAAGAAGACATTTATGCAGCCAACAGACACATGAAAAAATGCTCATCATCACTGGCCGTCAGAGAAATGCAAATCAAAACCACAGTGAGATACCATCTCACACCAATTAGAATGGCGATCATTAAAAAGTCAGGAAACAACAGGTGCTGGAGAGGATGTGGAGAAATAGGAACACTTTTACACTGTTGGTGGGACCGTAAACTAGTTCAACCATTGTGGGAGTCAGTGTGGCAATTCCTCAGGGATCTAGAACTAGAAATACCATTTGTCCAGCCATCCCATTACTGGGTCTATACCCAAAGGATTATAAATCATGCTGCTATAAAGACACATGCACGCGTATGTTTATTGAGGCACTATTCACAATAGCAAAGACTTGGAACCAACCCAAATGTCCAACAATGATAGACTGGATTAAGAAAATGTGGCACATATACACCATGGAATACTATGCAGCCATAAAAAAGGATGAGTTCATGTCCTTTGTAGGGACATGGATGAAGCTGGAAACCATCATTCTCAGCAAACTATCGCAAGGACAAAAAACCAAACACTGCATGTTGTCACTCATAGGTGGGAATTGAACAATGAGAACACATGGACACAGGAAGGGGAACATCACACACCTGGGCCTGTTGTGGCATGGGGGGAGCGGGGAGGGATAGCATTAGGAGAAATACCGAAAGTAAATGACCAGTTAATGGGTGCAGCACACCAACATGGCACATGTATACATATGTAACAAACCTGCACGTTGTGCACATGTACCCTAAAACTTAAAGTATAATAATAAAAAAAAAAAGACCTGCTGTGAACTTGTCAGTGATGTAATTTAAATGTATAAGAAGTCAAAATAAGTTATTATTCCTTTTAAGGGACTTTCTAATATCCTTCATTCTTTAATTTTTGCATTTTTTCATTTATTTTTAAAAATAATTTTTTCATTAAAAGTAGGAACAGATTTTATGTTAAAATAAGTGATGCTGTTTTTCTCTCCAATGTTTAGCTTTGGAAGGTAGGGAAGTGTAAGCTCAAAGAGCAAAGAGGTCTATTCCTTCTTCCTTATTTTTTTTTTTCCTAGAGATGTGATCTCTCTTTGTTGTGCAGGTTGGACTTGAACTCCTAGGCTCTGGCCTTAGCTGCCCAAGTAGTTGGGACTACAGGCATGCACTATTGTACCTAGCTCAGTCTTTTGTTAATAAGATCTTCTCTCCTGTTTTATTTCGTTACCTGTTAAGAGTTGAGGGAGGAGCACACTAATTTCCCTATGTACAATACATGGGGAGACTTAGTTAGGGGTAAAATATTAATTTCCCATAGAAAGTAGGGAGAAACCTTAGTTGGGGGATAAGTCCACAGACTATCTTTGGTTTCATGACATTGATTAATATTAATTGGTATATATATATATATATATAGTTACTTACTCTTCCAAGATGGCAGTTTTCTTAAATTTGAGGTTTTCATTGTTTATCTTAAACTCCAGGTGTATACTTTGGTACTACAATTATAAAGCATCATAGAAGGGAAGTTTAGTTTGGATTTTGAAATGTTAATACAGGAACATATCTGCATGATACTCAAGATGATGTATTTTTTAGACATGATATGCAAATGGCAGAAAACATCAAATTTAAGCATTTTTTAACAGTGTAATGAAATTTTTTCTTTTGTCCTTTTACTTTAACACAGGCTTTTGAAAGCTACAAAGCAATATTGTTTCAAATAGTAAAGTGTCAGCTAAAAAAGCTGACTAATAGAAAGTTAAAATAAAATTTTATTAATTTTCTATTAATAATCTAAAAATATGTTAATTGGGACTTTTTTATTTCAAGTGACAGAAGCTTAAACTAGCATAAACAAAAAAGGCTGGCAGTCACGTGAACATAAATACACATAATATTTGGATCATATTGTGTACCATTTTTGCATCTTTTAAAAAATTTTAACATTAGGAGTATTTCTTCATGATTACATACTCTTTAACATTATTTCAAAAGCGCTTCATAGCATTTCATTGAACACATATATCAAAGTGTATGTAACCATCCTACTCTTGTTAGACATTAGATTGCTTCCAATACACTGTTTCCAAATTCTCTGCCCAAGTAGAACAAAAAGCGTGATTTTCCAATCACTTAAACAGCAGTGAAATTTGAAGCCACAGAATATTTGTCTGAATTCAGAAATAACACTCAAAGGCAGCTGTAATTAGTTATGTAGTATTTAGCTAGTGAATTTTTTTTTTTTTTCCCCTTGAGACAGAGTCTCGCTCTTTTGCCAGACTGGAGTGCAGTGGCATGATCTCGGCTCACGGCAACCTCTGCCTTCCTGGTTCTCCTGCCTCAGCCTCCTGAGTAACTGGGACTACAGGCGCCTGCCACCATGCCCAGCTAATGTTTTGTATTTTAAGTAGAGACGGGGTTTCGCCGTGTTGGCCAGGATGGTTTTGATCTCCTGACTTCATGATCCGCCTGCCTCGGCCTCCCAAAGTGCTAAGATTACAGGCATGAGCCACTGCACCCGGCCACTAGTGAATATTTTCAATTGTTTATTAAATTCAGTGGGACTCAAAAATAGTTTTTAAAGAACACATTTCTTATAATGAACTTTAAGTCTCAATTTACTTTTGGTTTTTGTTTTGGGCTTTTGTCAGTTTGCATTGTGCCAGCCTTTCAAATTTTCTGCATATAATTTTAACCAGTATCAATAACATTTATGCTAAAGTTTGCAGTTACACTTTTAGAGCCATGAGTTACTTGAAATTTTGCTATAGATGTATTCTCTATATATGCCTTTATTAAAAAATAAAGCCACATAGGATTAAAACAGTTTTTAATTGTATTTTTCTAATTTTCTACAATGAAATTATGTTTCTATTATAATCTCCCACAGTTTTTTCAAATCTCTATTTTATCTCTGTAAATATCATTATTATTTCATTATTTAAGAAAACATAATTATTGATTTATATATTTAGAATAGTTTTTGTTTATTTAAAAAAGCTTCTCATGTACAGTAGTATGATCCATTCTAGGGCATGTTATTCCTATGTAATCTCATTGTTTATATTTGTAAGCTTTGACAATTTTAAATTGTTTATTAAAGTTAGTTTTGACTCAAAAATGGTTCAGGCGAATGCTTGTTACCATGATGGTTTCAGAGCAACTGCAGTCTGCATGATAGGAGAGCCCCAAAGCAATGGAAAAGGAAATGAGAACAGCTGAAAGTATTTTTTAAAGGTGTGTATGTGAAGCAAAAAGACCGAACGTCCAGTCTAGCTAATTGTTTTTTTTTATGGACAGGGTCTTGCTGTGTTGCCCAGGTTGCACTGAAACTCCTGGGCTCAAATGATCCTCCCATCTAAGCCTTCTGAGTAGCTGGGACTAACTAAATTTAAAGTGTCATAGTGATCAAATTATTTGACAAAAGTCATTATTACAGTCAATGTTTTCTCCCAGAGTATTTATGTATTCACTCAGCACATTATACATTAAGCAACAGGTACTACTGGCAATACAAATGAGCCCTATACTAACAACTTTACAGTTTAGTAACGCACAGACCTAGAAAAAAGTTAAGTATTAGGAAAGTTTTATAGATGCCAAGTTTTACCAGAAAAACCTGTACATTTTTTGTCTTGACTTAGAGATTATGTTCAGAAAGGTAACATAATGTACACAGGTGGTGGAATCAGAACTAACAGACCTATTTGCCACTTACATGTTACATCCAACTGTTTGGTGTCTGGAGAGCTCTTCATTTGTTTTAGACACTTCTCTTTTTCTTAAAAATATCCAGATAAAGAAATTTTGTATTATTTCTGTAACCAAATTGAATTATATCATGTATTTAAAGTATGTTATAGAGTTAATCAAGAAAACCTAGGTTTAAAAAGGCAAGCCCTATTAATAAAAATAAGTGTTGGTGAGAGATATTTAAAAAATTCTATTTTTTCTTTATATGAAAAGAGACTCATATCAAATCATGTCATTTTTTTTCAAAAATGAACATCATAAAACATTTAATAATACAAAAAAATGTAAACAGGAAAATAAATGAAAACAGTCTTTGATCTCATCACTCAGTAGAGAATCAAAGTGTTTTTAAATTCAAGATAATCACAGTTGAATGTTTAAGACTATCTATATCGTTAATTCATACATTCAGTCATTTATTCTTTTAACTAACATTATTGAGTGCCTTGCTACATGGCAATCCCTTCTAGGCCCTTGGTATATAGTTCTGAGCAGGACACACAAGGTACCTAACCTCTTGGGATGTAGTGAGTGGATAGAAATTATACTAATAACCTCACAAACAAAGAATTGCAAAATACTTTGAGGAAAAATTAAAGGATGCTGTGAAAAAGAATAATAGGGGAACATAATTTAATTTGGCAGCAAAGTAAGGCTTTACCTAAGTAATTTTTTTTTGAAAACAGAGAAACCTGAAAGATGAGTATGAGTTACCTTCTTAGGCACTTAAAATAAAATAAAAGCAATGAAAACATAGGTATATGTCACAATATATGACATTTATTCTTGAGTAAATATTGTTGAATCAATAAATACCTCTTCCAAAACATGAGAAAACAAAGTAAGTGTTAAAAGAGAAAGCATAAAACAAGATGTCTCAAGTTAAATCAAAATTAGAATAGTGGAAATAAACAAATACTATAATACTGCAAGACAGATAGTGTCTTGCAGTTGATTAAAATCAGAGCCCAACTAAGTGCTGGGAAGCACATTGAAACAAAAAAGTGCAGGAAAGTTGAAAAAAAAACCAGAATGGGCACGGAACAAGAAGAAAAAGGCAGAGGAGCAAGAAAAGGAGGAGGAGGAGGAGAATGGGAGGGGGAAAAATAGTGGAGATGGAGATGGTATTAATAGTGTGAAGGGAAAATAAATTTTGGGACCCCAAAATCACTAAGCTAAAGGGAAAAGTCAGGCTGGGAACTGTTTAGGACAATCGGACTGTGTCACAGGCATATCCTTAACTTTGGCAACATAAACTTCCTAAACTGGCTGAGACTTGTCTCAGATATTTTGCGTTAACAATAGTAAAGCTGGATTCAAGTGGCGTAAAATATTCACAATGAAGATAACGTGGTCATGCATTTTCATGTGCCAAATAACATAGCACAGAGGCACTTAAGTCAGATCTATTAGATACCTAAAGAGAAACGAAGAGAAATACAATTACTATGGAAGATTTTTACCATATCTTAATATTTTATCAAGTTGATTTTTAACAGGACACAAAATATTAGAATAATATAATAGTATTGAATTCATAGCTGCAGATAGAACATTCCCCCATCAAACCAAGCATACACCTTGTTTCCAAGTATCCTCAAAACTACCTTAATTCTTTTCAGAAAGCAGATATTTTATAGACCCCTTTTTTGGCCATGTGTAGTACAACAAATTAATAATTAAACCTTAAGCAACAACAAAAATAAATTCTAATCCTTTATAGATATAAAAAGCGCTGGCATATGTAACTATTGGATCAAAGGGGAAATGTTCAATTTTAGACTAATGACAAAATAAGGATATTGAGTCTATGACATATCAAATGTGGTTTGAAGCTAAAACTATACTAGAATATAACTTATAAGCCTTAAATGATTTAGATTGCCCTGTTGCTTTAACTGTAATTGTTATTGAGATCCAAAATGGGTAAACTCTATCAGGAACCCAAACTAAGGGAATGTTAGAATTGATCTACCACACATTCATGGATATATTTTATTACATATACTTTGGTGCAGAACTAGTGTTACGTTTCAAGAAGCTGGTTTAGATTATAGTGAGGTTCACATTCAGATTTTAGGATCTGAAAAAACATATGTGGCATAAGCTACAATAAATTTAAATGGAGTAAGCAGAACAGATTTCTTATTCCAGTATAAATGAATGTGTTGGCATATTGTTAATCACTTATGTATAAAAATACTTATTGTACAGGCCAACCCAGTTAAGGTTTAATGGGTTATACATTTTGGACTACTTCTATTTCACAGTGTGTATTTTTTAAAAGGTCTATATTTCTATGACAAGTTTATTTTATATATATATATATACAGTGTGTGTATTTTAAAAGATCTGTATTTCTATGACAAGTTTGAATTTTATATTTGTCTATGGCAAACCATATTTTGTAGAATGTCCCCTACCTACTTTTTGAAAATACCAACTTCCATAGGATAAACAATAGAAGATCATTTGTACAATTGGCAGTTTCTGGTGTTTAATAAACAAGGGTTTATGCTTCAATTCAGTGATTTAGGAGATATGATGTTGAAGGCTTAGAGAAAATAATAAAAATTAATACCATTCTATATCCATCACATCAGGAACAAGAAAGTCTCTTTTCATTCTATTCTCTTCCTTTCTTGCTCCACCTTTATATTTGTGCTATGTTCAAGCACTGGGGTGTCACGTATGTGATTTTCTTAAAAAATTCTTAAGGAACTGTGAATCTTTAAATTTTCAACTTCTACTTCTTAATATATGCTGTTCTTTATCAGTAAAAACAGAAGTAATATTCTATTTTTGCTGAAAGTTTTCTAGCTTTTCACTAGAAAAGGGATCAAATATTCAGAATTAAGATTTTTTTTGCTTATCTTAAAAAAAATTTTTAACTATAAAGCATGTCTTAATCTATTGTGACTACCCATTAAAAATTAATTTCATTAATCTAGTTTAATTTGAGGCTTTTTGAGATTACTTTAAAAATATAAATGAGAGAATTAAAGTATAATCAATATCTTATTAAATTATGGATAATAAATTTGACCTTGTCTAGGTAGTTTCTTTCCTCTATCCATATATTTATTCCTAGCAGCATTATTACACATCTTGTATTACTTATAAGCTTTCTATTCACATCTTTTATCTGTTTGAATATTTTTTAGAACTTTTAATGCCAGTAATCATATTCACGAAGGTTTGGTCATCTTACTAATTCTGGGATTATTTATAGACATTTTGGTCTATAGTGATTATTTTCATTTAATAAATGTTAATCAAAGATAGGAAAATGTTTATAAATAACAATGACAACAATAACAATAACAATTAACACTTAAAATTTATATGTATTGAATACCAGCTTAAGTTGCTGAAAGTAACAGAGGTAGAAATTTGCTTTTAAAATAAACCATTAGCTCAATTCCTAGAAACAGGTGTTAACTAAAGCCATTGTTTTCTTGACTCGAGGTACAGTATGTGATGACTTTTCCTTAAATTGCATAAATAGGAATACTTGCAGTGCAGAGTTAATTACCTTCACCTGGTTGATCGTGTGCTCTGTTTTAATGGAATGAAAAGAGACTTTCCTGTTCCTGATGTGATGGATATAGAATGTTATTAATTTTTATTATTTTCTCTAAGCCTTCAACATCATATCCCCTAAATCACTGAATTGAAGCATAAACCCTTGTTTATTAAACACCAGAAACTGCCAATTGTGTAAATGATCTTCTATTGTTTATCCTGTGGAAGTTGATATTTTTAAAATGTAGGTAGGGGACATTCTACAAATATCTGACTGGTATTTCTCAAAACTAAACTGGTATCAATGCATATAATTTAAGTAAGTTCTAAACAAAAGTTAATTTGAATAACATTTTACTAAAGTAATTTTTATGGCTTTTGTGAAGCAGTTTACATTGGTATATGGTTTGCACTAGACAAAAGTGGGTGAATGTTAAAAGGGAAAGGGTTAGAAAGAGGGAAGATCACTTTGTCCTAGTTTCAAGTATCAAAATCCAGAAGTGATTTCTGTAAAAAAATAATAATAATTATGCTCTTATAGCATAATAACAAACATTATTATTAAAAAACAAATTAACACTAATTGAGGGATTAGTATGTGGCAGGCGCTATTGTTAAGTGTTTTATTTGTGTTAAGTCATTTAGTGCCCTGACAACTTTCTTTTAGGTAGGTTCTGTTCGTAGTTCCTTTTAAAGATGAGAAAAGAGGCGTAGAGAGATTGAGTCCTACATATATACATGAGGTTATACCTAAGTCATACATAAGATGTTGCAGCTAACGAGGGACAGGGCCAGATATTGAATCCCCTACAGTCTAGTTCCATTTATCACAAAATTCATTTAGTGTAAAGAATCAATTAAAAATATATAAAACTGTCGTAGCTGAATTATGAAAGCTTGAATAACATGAAAAGATCATTTATTAAATTTTAGAAGAGAATAAAATTAAAATAATGTATTTTAGAGTCCTAGATATATTAAAGTAAAAATAACTCAAGTATCTTTATTGAGACGTTTTTCTATTTAGAAAATTTACTCTTCTATATAAAAATAAACTCAACAAACTATTGGCTAAATATTTTACTTCAAAACACTTTTTGGAGAAAGGCTTCTTGTTTTCATAATTTTTGCAATCTGTTATTAATTTTATTTATCAAGCTCTAAAAATGACAAGAACTTCTTGTGTTTTATTTTGTAGACTAGTGTGTGGTAAGGTCAAGACATAAACTTAGGGACTATTTAGAATTATATGGGAAATTTTAGATGCTTGATAAAATCCAGAAACAGAAACCAGGCGTCACAGTGCGGATATTTCTCTATACACAGGAATATGTGCTCTGTTAGTTGCCTGGCAGTGTAATTGCCATATTTTAATTCACTAAATTAAAATTAGTAAATATTGAACTTAAAATGAAAGGTTATTTATTATGAAAGCAACTTATTGTATCTTGTAAGTTTCTCTTTATTAAACATGCTTGAAAACATTACCTATGTCTATTTTTCATGGTCTGACTATAAACTCCAATTTAGTCACATAATTAAATTGTCAAATGGATTCTTTAAGTTGGATTTTGAGAGAGAGTGAGTGACAATAAACATGATGGGAAAGGTATTAATTTACTTTGATTATTGGTCTGATTAAAATAACTATATCTCATATTTGTACTTGAAGAAGTGTTTCACATCTGATGGAACATTTTTTTTCATCATAATAGCTCTAAGAAGCACTTAGGAAGCTGATATGATCTGTGTTTTGCCGAAAAGGCAAATTAAGTTATGAAGAAATGAACTGACTTAATTAAGGACAAGCAGGTATTTAGAATAAGAAGCAGAACTAGACCTTAGACTTCCACTCCTTTCCAGAGACTTTCCAAATGACTGCACATTTCAAAGGTGATTGACAAGTTCTTAAAATTTTCAAATTAGATACTTTAATGTACATATTTATACCATAAGTCTGTTTCAAACTAGGAGAACTGATTTATTCTATAATAAGCTATCTATTTACTACAGACCATCTTTGTTGCAGATACTCTATAGAGGAAATAGAGCTGTCTCAGTTACATACATATCATTTAAAATCAGCAGTCATATGAAACAAAGCAATGGGTATCAGTTAAATAAAAGAGTAAAAAACAAAGGAATTTTACAAATATAATTTATATGATTTTTTTCTAGCTTTCATTATTGTGTGTCAAGTTGTATTCCTAAGATAAAATTAATTATTATTAATTTATGAGGGACCAAAAGGGTTATCCTCTGTTTTCAGTAAGTTGTTTATCTTGTGTGTACATGTGTGGCATAATTACAAAAATTTATAACCTTCTCATAGTAATCATACAAACTAGATGACCCAGAAAAAAATGCTCTTTCATGGTATGCAAATACAAATTTGTGCCTTATTTTGAGGTATGCTCTTGTTAGTTTCTATTCTTTGTTATTACGGTCCTTTAGAAGGTGTCTTTTGTCTTTCAGTCCATCATAAACAGAAGATGGCAGTGGAAATCTTTTCTAGAGAAACTGCACTAGCAGGGACTGGAATGGGTAACTACACATATTTTTACAGTTACAACTCTAAGAGTCTCTACTTTTTCTCACCATCATCAGTTATGATACTCATTAGTTAGCCCTTCTGAACTTGGCAATGTGTGCTAAATACATGGGTTATGCAATACTCATAACCTGCTGCCTGTGAGCATGTTAATACCTTTAAGCATTTGTCAAGAATATACCCATTTTTGTAATATTTATTTCAAGTTTATCAAGTGCTGACATTAATTATGGCAGTATATGTTTGTAGATTCTGTGTAAGCTGAATTGTGAATTTAGGGTGATGATCCCAGACAGAAAAAAACCTGGTAAAGTTCACTTTGGTTTCCTCTGCCCCACCTGCATCCCCATCCTATGTTCCAGTTTCCTCTACATTAGGATCCCATGTCCCCGCAAGCCTCTCTTCCTTCCTAGTGCCCTCTAAAGAGGTCTCATGTGTCCTGGGCTGTGCAGCCCTAGGCACACTGGGCCCTTTACCACAGTGCCCTTGCTTTCCCCACACTGCCCTTGCTTTCCGCACACTACAACTGAAATGGACTTGATTTGGATCTGATCATTAAAGGACCAGGCCTCTCAAGGCTTCAGTTCAGTTTATCCAATGAACTAATTTTTCACTGGACTATAACATTCGATATACCTCAAGCTTCCATGTTTAAATACGGAGAGGTTGAGGCTTAGAGAGGTGAAGTGGGGGATGGGAGAAGGCAGGAACCCTACTCTGACTCCTATAAAGAGAAGTAAAATTTCCTAGAAATACTGGTGCCAGGGGAAAATTTCTGTTCTGTTTCCACTTCCCTCTTCCTCTCCCGATGATTAAAAATGGAGAGAGAAATCGAATGTTGGCTAAAATATAGTTAAAATACAAAATAATATTACATTTTAAAATTAAAACAAGAACCACGTTATAGAAAGAGCAGAGGCATATTAACTGTAAAGCTAGTGAAATTTAAACTCCAGGCCCCTCATTGGTGTGGTCCCCTTCCAAGGCCTTACCATTGTGCTCACACAGTCAAGATGTTTTTGTAAGTTTTCTAAGAATAAGATATTTTATCTGCAGTTTTTAACAAAGCTTCCATAACTTGTATTAGCTTCAGGCCTCACAAAAACCTGGATCTATTCTATTTATGGTTAATACTGAGTCTAGTTAACATAATTTTCAATGTTGAGGAAGTTACCAAACTTTTTAAAGTCTCAGTTTCTTTGTGTCTGAAATGAGAAGAATAATAATCATGCTTGCTCAGATGCATGTAGGTTTGTGGGGTTGTAAAAGAAAGACAGCAGGGAGAAGGGGACAAGAGGAAGGAAGAAGGATGGAAAGGGACAGGGGAGAGAATGTGAAAGTATGTTTTGAGCTACAAAGCAATATACATGAGCAAAATACAAAGTGATCTTAATGAAATATTTCTGCAGCATGTGACCTCCTCCTGTCTCTTCTTAGCATATTACCCATCGTTTTACTTTTTAATTGATGATTTAGGATTGCTCTGTTGAGCACATGAAATGGATAGATTAATTCTCCCTTTAATGTCCATTATTCTGCAGGTCTGAGAAAAATAAACCCCCACTTTGTTTAAGTCACTGGGGGTTTTATGTGGTTGGTTGGTTGGTTTTTCAGTTTTTGACGTAGTTAAAAATAATCTAAATGATACTGATTTTGGGAAGGAATTTGGGAACTCTGCGTACAAAGAATTATTTTCGAAATCCTATTAAACATTTTCATGCTGGACCAAATTTTTCTTACTCTTTCTTCTAACAGAACATTTGCAGCACGTTGTCTGCTTTCCGAGGGGCAGGGTGGGACAGTTTGACACACTTTGATGTTACTGCATCACAAGAGTTACAGCTTTCTGGTTTCCAATATTTGTATCTTTTCTCAAATCCCCACCTCCTTCAGTAATCCGTTCTACATTTCAGGTGGCTGCACCCCATTTCCAGGGACTAAATTCTATATAAGTCAAAGTTCTTGGTCTCAAACAGCATTCTAACTAATTTAACCCGAAAGGGGTTTATTGGAAGTTATTAGGTGGCTTACAGAATTTTGGGAGCACCGTATCAACCATTTTGGATACTAGTCAGTCAAAACAAAAACTGAAAATACCAAGGGTTCTAGGGAACTACTGCTGCCCTCGGCAGGTAGGACACAGCATGCCAGAGAGTCCACCTCAGTATTTTCAGAACCACGTGGCTCCACCTCCGTGCTCCCCAGAAGACACAAATTCCATCTTGATGCTTATTTCTCATCCGAGTCCTGGGCAGACACCTCTGTTTGTCAGAAGCTTAGGCCACATGCCTGCACTCTAGCTTCAGGAAGATGGGGAAATGTTTTCACTTCCCAGCCTCTATAGTACAGTAAGGCAGCAACAGAGGAGTTAGAATGAGTGCAGAGTGAGCCAGCCTACAGAATCCGCCACAGTGTCTTGCTTCCTTACATTTCACTGTGGGACTTGGGGCAAGATACTTAACCTCTCTAACTAATCCATGTTCTAATACGTAACATGAGGATTTGGACCCCATGAATTCCAAGAGTTCTTACCGTAATACAATTCTGGGTCTGTACTAGTTAGAATTCTGGCTTCTAGTGATGGAATCCTTACATGACCCTGTGAAATTAAGTAAGTAGAATTTATTGGCTCTCCTAACCTAACTGTGGAAGATCAGGGGTGAAGCTGGCTTTAGGGTTGTCTGGCCCATCTGGCCTGCCTCCCCTCTCTGCTTTCTCTGGGTGTGGACTATAGAAACCAGCTTGTCCTTCAAGCTGGAGAAGCAGCTGCTTATGGTACCAAGGCTCATATCCAAATAGCTCTGAGGTCAGAGAGGAAAAGAGCTCCTCTTTTTCTGAATCAGTTTCTAAGTTTCAGAAGGATGCTTAGCTAAGCTTGGTTTGTGTGCCCAGTCCTGTGGTCAGGGAGTGGAGTCTTTAACTAGAGAAAGGCAGGCTAACAGAGAAGTGTTTTGAGGCAGTCAGCCACCTCAATCAGTGACCAATGCAGATTCCAAAACGTAGTGTGCTACGATATGTAATGTGGGGTTTATTAATTTGTTTTCAGGCCCTTATTATGTGTGATAATGTTGTGTGGGGCTTAATGGGCAGTAAGACATCATTGCAACCTGCATTCAGGGAGCATAAATTGAATTCTATAGATAAAAGCAAACACAGTATGGAGCCTTATCTGCAAATAAACTATATAATAGTGTTTTTAGGGAATGATCTGAATCCTAAAGCAGGTGAATATGGAACTTGAAGGAAGAGACTGGCTTTTTTTTTTGCCAAGGATTTTGCTCCAAGTCATATTCCTAAGCCAACTCATATTTGACTTAAAAGATCACAGGTAAAATCTAAAATTGATTTTTTTTCCTTGAACTTTTTGCTTTTTTATCTATTTTTTTTTTTTTTGGATGTTGACTGTGTTGGTATTTAGAGAGCCTCTTCCTTTGGGAAGTTACATTACTGTACTGGAATATGTTTTGCTTCAGCAATAAATATGACAATATAGCCTTTTGGTCTTATGCTTTATCAACATAGCTTATATAACAGGAAAAAAATATATTTCCTCCTTGAAATAAAAAAAATTGGTAGTGCACCCTAAAATATATCTGTACTTTAGTAGCATTTTGCACACTAAGTTATACTTTGTTGGCAATTAGATTGTTGAAAATGTGTGAAAAGTTTCAGCTGATCAAAGTTTCAGCCTTTGGTTCATCATACAAATGTGCTTCTTAGTTTAATAATCTGAAGCACATGCATATTAAGTAGAGAAAACTAATTGCAGTAAATCCTGGAAACAATCTGGATGTTTCAATAATGTCACATTGTTTTTTCTGAATTTACTTGTAACACTGTTACATAAGGGTTTTGTTTTTACATTGTTTTAAGTCTTGTTGGCCTCTGTTTCTCTGATGATTATTAATAACTATATGATTTAATTAGATTTTATATTTATATGTCATGTCAAGGCTCTTGAGTGCATTTTATACATTTTTCTACTTGAACAATGTCTATAGATATAATGAAATATACATATGCTGTATAGTTATTCTTTCTAGAAATTTGTATTGTGATAGGAAATAACTAATTTATATACTTCAGCGATAATGGAGGATCACTCTTTGCTTTTAAACATTGGATATATCCATTCCAGTAAGTGGAATATAACTATTTTTAATGTGACCAAAGTCATTTTAATGTGTATGTGTTCCAGCATTTTTGTTTCTTTTTCATTTTACAGTAAGTGGTTCTTAAACATAAATGGAAATCTTTCATATTCCATGAAGTTGATCCACAACCTTTGATGAGTGCCAATCGTATATAGATAGTTGTTGGTTTGGTGCAAATAAAATTAAAAGCCTAGCATTATAATCGAATTGAAAAGTCTATTGGAAGAGACTGGTTACTAAAGATGAAAAGTATCCTTGTGGAACAAAACAGAAACATCGATAGTGGGAGTCTAATATGTTATAGCAATACACAGCAGAAGCATCCAGTGCAGCCTCGGGTACCAGGGAAGTAATGCTTAAACGGAGAATGGAAAGATTATTAGTAATGATGCTGAGCCTTGTGGAAAGAATCATAGTTAGAGGAAATAACATGTATGAAAGCCCAGAGGTGAAAGAGAGGTTGGCAGCTATGGAGAAACTAAAATAAGTTCCCTTCAGCTGCAGCAGAGAGATGGGGTCAAGCAAGAGAGAGGTGTTAGGGAACTGATAACAGAAAAAGCCTGACCTGGGATGAGATTAGTGGCACTAAGCGAAATAGGCAGATTCAAGAGGAGGACCTACTGATTAACAGGTTTCGAGAAACAAGGGAGAGGAGGGGAATCAAGGATTTTTCCAGACACCTTGGGCAACTGGGTGGATGTGGTGCTGTGCGTGGAGGAAGACAGCACAGGAGAAGAAGCAGATTTAGGGGGAGTCTTTGGGACATTTCAGGATGTCCAGTGGGGAGCTGCTTTGGTGATAAAGACTGAGGAGACATCAGCGTAAAAATAGTAATTTCATACCAATACCCAAAGGGTTTGCAAAAGAAGAGGAGGCTTAGAAGTATCTGCCAGAGAGGAGAAGAAAAGCAAAGACAGAATGCTTTTAAACATTGAAGGAAAGAAAGTCTTTCAAATGGGACTGAATGGTCATCATGCCAAATGTTACACAGAGGTCAAACAAGATAAGAACAAAACAGTTCCCATTGGATTTTGCACTGAGGATGTTGCTGTTGACCACTTGACAGTTTCAGTCAAGTGGTCAAGGGTGAATCCAGATGCAGCGGGTTGAGAAATGAATGGGAAATAAGGAATTGGAGATAGTGAATGTAGACAGCTCTTGTAAGAAGAATGTTAATGAAAGGGAGATAAAGATAAGGCTGTAGCTGGAGGAAGATGGGAGGCCAAGGGACAGTTTCATTTTTTATTTAATATGAGAGAGACCTGAGTGTGTTTAACCACTGGTGATGTGAAATAACCGGAGGAGAGGGGAAGGCCGAAGACACTGAGGGGCTTTGGGGAGGGTTGCAATCAATAGAAGGGGGCCTCTGAGAAGGTGGGAATGATGGGATCCATCGTCCCAGATAAGGGGGCTGTCTTCAATTGTAAAGGGAGGAAAGAGTGGGATCAGTAGCAGTTAGGAGTGCTTTCACTTGCAAATAACAGAAAACCCAGCTACCAATAGTGCCTCACTCAAGCAGATATTCATTTTTCTTGTATGACAAGCAATTTAGAGTAAGCAATTGCTGACATTGCTTCTGCAAGTTGATATCAGCACTAAGGGGTTGACATCACTGCATTTCCCTTCATCTTTTCCTTTCAAACTGTGCTCAAGGCAGGAAAAGGGGGGAAGGGATGGTATTAGCTGCACTTGGTCATTTAAACAGGAAAGTGTCTCCAGAGGCCTCCGGGAGACTTCTGCTTGCATCTCATTGGCCAGTACGGTGTCCCATGGCCACTCATAACGACAAGGGAGACTGGGAAAGATTTTTTTTACCCTCATAGTGGGAGAAGTCAAGAGAGATAAGATTTGGGAATGACAGATTAGTTAAATAGCAGCATCTACCACAGAGCAAATGCAGATAATTTGTAAATTTGGTAGCACGCAGGTGAAGGACTTGCCATCTGATAGTTCTGTTGTCTCTAAAATTGGAAATAAGATAATCTGTGAAGTCAGGAATATAACTTTTGAGAGTGGTGAAAAATAGGAAATGTCCTCTTTGGAGAACTTGAAACGCGGGACTGATGAAACAGTGATCTCTGAACTACACTGAGATTTAATTAGCGATTAGAGATTGATAGGGCACATGCCTAGAGAATTATGTGACTTATCAAAGAGTGATGACCAGACAATGAGAATATTATTCTTCATTTGTATTATACTTCTTGTGAATATAAAACATCCTACTGAATGCTTTTGATTTTGAATTCTGTTTGTATAAAATTCATATTTTAATTTTTTTAAAATGTGTTTATGCTGTATAAATCATTACCTACTTGTTTTGTTATAGGTATGTCTCATAAATTTACATATATATTTATGTGGATTTTTTCCCCACAGCTTTTTATTTTAAAAACTTTCAAATATATAGAAAACTTGAAAAAGTAGTACAGTGAACACCCCCCATGCCATTCACTGACTTCCACTAATTAACACTTCCCCACATTTTCCTTTTT